>NC_000009.12:107008430-107159945 GCF_000001405.40 Homo sapiens | reverse complement strand
CAAGTCCCTTTTGCCTCTGAGCCTGTAAAATCTAAAGCAAGCTAGTTACTTCCTGGATACAATGAGGGTACAGGCATTGGGCAAATACAGCCATTCCAAATAGGAGAAATTGACCAAAACAAAGGGGTTACAGGGTCCGTGCAAGTCTGAAATCCAGTGGGGCAATCAAATTTTAAAGTTCCAAATGGTCTCCTTTGATTCCAGGTCTCACATCCAGGTCACACTGATGCAAGAGGTGGGTTCCCATGGTCTTAGGCAGCTCCACCCCTGTGGCTTTGCAGGGTACAACCTCCCTCCCAGCTGCTTTCATGGGCTGGTGTTGAGTGTCTGTGGCTTTTCCAGGCACATGGTGCAAGCTGTCAGTGGATCTACTATTCTGGGTTCTGGAGGACGGTGGCCCTCTTCTCACAGTTCCACTAGGTGATGCCCCACTAGGGACTTTGTATGGGGCCTCCGACCCCACATTTCCCTTCCACATTGCCCTAGCAGAGGTTCTCCATGAGGCCCCCACCCCTGCAGCAAACTTTTGCCTGCACATCCAGGCGTTTCCACATACCTTCTGAAATCTAGTCAGGAGAAAAATGAGGAAGAAGCAAAAGCAGAAACCCCTGATAAACCCATCAGATCTCGTGAGACTTACTCACTATCACAAGAATAGCACAGGGAAGACTGGCCCCCATGATTAATTACACCCCCCTGTCCTTCCCACAACACAGGGGAATTCTGGGAGATACAATTCAAGTTGAGATTTGGGTGGGGACACAGCCATACAACGTCAAGGCATGAGCCACTGCACCCAGCCAAATTTTATGTTAAATAGATTTTACCTCAGTAAAAAATACCTAATGGATGTGCACATAATGCATAACCAAACTCTACAGCACACAGGATTGATACTTCAAACTCATCTACAGACAAGTCTTAGAGCCACTTAAAGCAACCCCGAGGCATGAATCTACCAAATAGATATATTATTCAGAGTTATCAAGTCACTACTCACAGGATTCTTGAAGTATTTCTTCAGATTGTGAGTTCTCAACTCTTTTGCATGAAAACAACTTGATTTTTAGATAGGCCTTTAGGGAAACATTTATTGCATGAAAGAAGACCTGCTTTGGGTAATTGCAAATGCTACCACTAAATGTAGAAATGTTTATTTAGTGACCAGGAACCATTTCCTCAGCTCTTTCCTTCAAGCCATGGCTCAGGACAGTCAGTACTTCTAAGGGGTTTTCTGTCCTTCCATGATGTTTGGGGGAGGAGACCCAACATGGGGTTTCTGATGGGTAAAAAAAAGACCACAGCAGAGGCACTGGCAGGTGTGATGTGAGCTCAGTGTGCTCTGGGGGCAGACTCTGGGGCAGGAGGCTCTCTCCAGAAGCGCTGAAAAGGCTACAGGAGTGATGCCTCTTCTTATTTCTAGCTGTGAACAGACCTCTAGTGGCAGCTGCTGAAATTAACCTGCTCTCTCCAGAGCCCCCTCTGTGAATGGATGTGATTCTTTTCTCTCAAAGCATTATTGGCTGCAGCCATTCCAAGAGAACAGGACATTTCCAGCAACATTAAACTTCCTGCAGGTCTGGTTTGGCCAAATGTGCTCTTTAAAATTTCGGAGCAAATTTTCTTTATTGCCCCTTTTCTATGTGGGCTGAACCATGGACACTAAAGTTGCCTTGTACTGACAGCCACAAGCCTCCATTTCTACTGGGCACTGGGAAGAAGACCCAAAGGCAGGATCTCTTATGTGAAAGGAGTTTAGAAGTCAGGCACACCTGGTCCCCTTACCAAAGAAAAGAATGCCTATGAATGGTGATATTTGAGCTGGAATCAAGTACAAGCTTCAATGGGCATAATTTCTACTTTGTTATTGGACAGTGGTTCTCAAACTTATGCCAACCAACTCAATGTCAGATCCCTTTCTCCCAGGAGGCTGCCCTTATGACCTTCTCTACAGTCAGATAATCATGCTGTGTTCTGTGTTCATCTTCTATTTTGGCACTTCTTGTATTGGGGTCATTTATTCATTCATTTCATTCATTCATTCAACAAGTATTTATTGACCAACTTTGAGTCAGACACTGTTCTAGGTGCTAGGGACAAAGCAGTGAATATAAAAAGGCAAAGTGTTCAAAGCATTAGCATCTATGGGGAGTCAATATTATATACATACATATATATATAAAATCAGACAATTTGTGGAACACCATAAAATATTGATATATGGAATTTAATATATGTCTGTGAAGAAAAATAAAGTTGGGTAAGTACAAAGGAGTGCAGTGGGTCAATAGGGATTAGTAATTTTTAATAAGGTGATCAGAGAAGGGCTCTCTGGTAAGATGTCATTTGAACAGAGGGCTTGATGGAGTAAAGCATGCAGAAGATATTGGACAAAGGAGGGATATGATGTGAGCCCCTTTTCACAGGATCACTCTGGGTGTTGTGGGGAGAAAAGAGTGAAAGGAGCATGGAGACAGCAGAGGGTTCAGTCAGGAGCCCATTGCTGGAATCCAGGTGGAAACCGTTGTGGCTTCAACCAGGGTAGACACAGCGGATGTGGTAAAAGGTGGATGCATTTTTAAGATGGAGCTTGCAGGATTTGCTGATGGACTGGATGTGAGGGAAAGAAGAGCCAAGGGTAATTCCGAGTTTGGACGCCTGGAAGAATGGAGCTGCCAGTTCCAAAATGAGCAAAAGTTTGGAAGGGAAATTTAAAATGGGAAAAACAAGAGTTTGGTTTGAACTTGTTAGGTCTAAGATGTCATTTAGCCATCCAAGAGGAGACGTCAATGAGACAGTTGTAGATAAAAGCCTGGATTTCCGGGAGAGATCCAGGTTGGATATGTATATTTTGGAGTTGTCAGAGTACAGAAGGCATTTAAAGTGTATTTTAAAATCATCATCATTCTCCAGGAAATAAAAATAGATACGGAGTAACAAAAAAGAGAAGCAGCCCAAGAATCAAGCTCTGGGGCACAAGGGGCAGCGAGGGAAGGACACTGAGAATGAGGTGAGGTGAGGTGAGGTGAGGCAGGAAGAAAGCCACAAGAGTCATGTCTTGGGAACCAAGTGAAGAAAGTGGTCCAAGAAGGAGTAAAATGAGCTGGGAATTTGAGAAAGCAGAGAATTGAGAATTGACTACTGGATTTTGCACCATGGAGGTCATGGTGACCTTGCAAGAGCTCTTCCAGCAGAATGGCAGGACCAAAAACCTGATTACAGTGACTTCAGGAGAGAAAAGGAGTAGACAAAGTGCTAATAGTGAGCTTCAGCACTTGATCTACTTGAGAATTTTTCTATAAAGAGGACCTGAAAAATGAAATGTTAGATCAACAGGAGTGAACTCCGAGTAGGTGAGAATGGATGAGATCCATTTTACAAATTGAGGAGTTGGGCTTAGAAAGAAATGTTGATATGGCCATTTTTTCTTTTTTCCCCTTTTAAAAAGAAAATCTGTGAGTCAATGCCTTTGTTTCACAGCTACTATGTATCTCAAGCTGTGAGCAGGCCGAGATGGGCAGGGGAGCTGACACGATCTATGTCTTGAATTGCACTATTTGTGGAAAACCATAAAATATTGATATATGAAATTTGAAATAGCTAAGTATATATGACATAATTCAATACCAGATTCTAGCATGGACAAGCACTAACTGGTGACATAGGTATAAGAAAAAATTTGAAGTTGAAAAATGTCCAGCAATTGGCTTAATGTATTTCCATAAATTGGGAAGTGATCGCTGTGCTGTTATTTTTGCAGCTGACACCTGGTCCAGTCTGCAGAACACCATGGTTCCATAGGTTAAGAGACTGCCCTCACTGCCCAGAGAATTTCATATTTGGAAGGAACATTTTAAATGCAGACGTGGTCACTCCACTATGTTCTGAGATGCTTCAAATCACAGGTGAGAAGAGAAGAGATTCTCGAATTTTGGCCACTGGAAGCTGGTATTTCCCAGCATTGAGATTGCCCAGCATTACCTTGGCAAGATTGGACTGACTTGCTACAGGTTGCCCAGGAAGGTGCTCTGACATGAGTAAGAGACACACCATAGGAGCATCCCACAAGGGCTTTGAAAGTCTTTTTAGGAGGCATCTCCAAGAGGATGAGGTGCAACATCACAAAAGGTGATGTGCTGGATTTCTTGGTAAACAAGGACAGAGTATATGTCACACCAGGCTCAAGTTTGAAACTCCTTGAATCAGTTCTGAAGGGACCACTCTATCCCTGGCCACAATTCTTAACCAGTCAAACATATTAGTTTATTAAATCCTGATAAAAACCATAAGCCTCAGAGAGGTTAGGTGACTCTGAGGTTACACAGCCAGTAGGTGGCAGATCTGGGGTTGAAACACAAGGCTCCTGATACCAAATTTTGTGCCTGTTCCATGAAAAGAAACTGTTAAAAGGCAAGCCAAGGCTTAAAACCCGGTCTGTCCCTAAGGATACACCTTCCCTACTCATGGGAGGCCTGGTTGGATAGGGTCCTATTTGGGCGGGGTCAGGTTTTGGGTAATGGTTGGATGGAGTGGTTCCCGCCCCTTGTTTTTGCTTGTGAACTGTGTGTCCTCCCTGTTGTCCCTGGGTCTGGATGGGACCTGATAGCAAGTTGACCACATTTAACTGGAGTGATGTCATAGACATCCAAAGGTAAACAATAAAGGAAAAAAAGCCATAACTTGTTTAAGATTCTTAGAGTTTTCTGTTACTGTCATATACATTCCTCCCTTTGATTGTCATTGCAACCTGTGATGTGGGAATTAATTTGGGGCCCACCTGATGAATGAGGTAGCTGGGCCCAGAGAAGGAAAGTTGTATACATTACATTCCTGCTCTGGAATCTTCCATAGGGAAATTTTAGGATTTTGAGGCATTTCTGTCTCTAGTGCTATGTCTTGGTTTCTCAAAACTCGAGGAGGCAGGAATGAGGATGGGGAAATTGTTCTCTCTGCTAGGCATTTTATTTATTTATTTATTTATTTATTTATTTATTTATCATTCATTCATTCATTCTGCTCTGTACTTTACATGTATTTTCTCATTTAATCATCTCAACAACCCTAAGATTATTGAGCGGGAGTGGAGGCTCAGAAAGGTTGAGAGATTTGCTCAAGGCTACGTAGACAGCAAGTAGCCAAAGAGGTCTTAGAATGGGAACCCACAACTTTCCACTGCCTGTTCCTGCCCCTTTGTGAGGATTTCAGTTTGCTGGTTTTGGGTGTGGGATCTGGGTTTTAAACCCTGCATGCCTAGATCTCTTCAGTGGGCATCTAAGGGGGTGTGTGGAGGAAACGGGAGGTTAGGTCTCACAGCGAAATTTCTAATTTGAATTCTAATTCACTACTGACCTGTGTGACTTCCCACAAGGGCATCACCTCCCTGAGCCTCCCTTCCTTGTCTGTAAACATGGTGACTGCAATTCCTACCTAACGGGTTCTTGTGAGCAGCTGATGAGAAAACAGACCACAGGGCTCAGTACCAAGTAGGATCTTAACAAACAGAAATCCACCCTACTTTGCGGCAGCCCAGGATTGTTTTTTTTTGTTTGTTTGTTTGCACTGGGAGCTGGGTAGGGAGCTGGGCAGAGAAGGGAGTGGGTTGTTCCAATTGCTGTCTCTCCTCCTTCCTCTGCCTGGGCTCCTGATTTCAGAGACAAACAACCCTCTTATGATTATGGTTTAAGCATGAGTAGACCCACTCTGCAGCTCCTTGTGCTATTTAAATCGGAAGCAACAATAGCAGGAATGTGACAGGCTTGGGAAAGTGCTCTGGTTTGCTCATGGTCACAGTAACCCTAATTAAATGCATTACATTCATTTCCCTTGAAAATTTAACTCCCTGAGTTTTACCAAGACACAAATTATTCCATTCTCTGTGGTTCTCTTGAAGTGGCAAAGGTACAAGTGTGCAGGATGAACGAGATCTCTTTCTGTAGGTCACCAAATTCATTCCCCAGGACCAGGTTCAGTATGGCAAAAGTTGAAAATGCTTTCTTTTTCTCTTGTGCTGATGTGCTCAATGCCAGCTCTGTGCTTACCTGGAGCAAGAAGTCATCACAGATGTGTGGCTACTCTTTCATGGCCACTGAGTGAGATCAGGTATTAGCTCTGTGCTCAAGAAGAGCAGGGAGTGGCCACGGGAAGGTGAGGAGGCCATAGTGGTACAAATGCCTGGTTCACAGACTCCTCCTCAGAGGGAAGAACGAGATATATTGGCTATGTATTGCTGTGTAACAAATTACTCCAAACCTTAGCAACTTAAAACATTTATTGCCTTATATGGTTTCTGAAGGTCAGAAATGTGGGAGCAGCTGAAATGTGTGGTTCTGGCTCAGGGTCTTTTAGGATTTGCAGTTAAGTTCAAGTTGTCAGCTGTGGCTGTAGTCATCCGAAAGGCTGACTAGGGTTGCAAGATGTCCAGGATGACTCACTCAGATGGCTCTCGGCAAGAGACCTTAGATTCTTGCAGTGTGGTCCTCATGACCTCGCAACTGGCCCCTCCTTGAGTGAGTGACTTAAAAGAGAGACAAACAGAAGTCAACAGGTCTTTTATGATTTACAGTCTCTATAGTCAAAAGTGATCAATTCCACTTTATTCTGTTGGTCCTGTAGACCAACTCTGATACAATGGCCAGGAAAAGGACTTTGATGTGGTTTTGTTGTGTCCCCCTGCCCCCAATCTCATCTTGAGTTATAGTTCCCATAATTCCCACATGTCATGGTAGGGACCAGGTAGAGATAATTGAATCGTGGGGGTGGTGTTCCCCATACTGTTCTTGTGATAGTGAGAGTTCTCACAAGATGTGATGATTTTATAAGGGTCTTCCCCCTATGCTAGGTTCTCATTCTCTCTCCTGCTGCCCTGTGAAGAGGTGTCTTCTGCCATGATTGTAAGTTTCCTGAGGTTTCCCCAGCCATGCAGAACTGTGAGTCAATTAAATCTCTTTCCTTTATAAATAACCCTCTCTTGGGTATTTCTTCATAGCAGCATAAGGATGGACTAATACAGACTTCATAAAGGTTCATTCCAGGAGGTGGGATCTTGTGGAGCCATCTTGGAGGCTGGCTACCTTGAAAGGCATGGTTATCAAAGAGACCTGGGCTCAGACTTCACTTCTGCAACTCCAACTGTATAGGATCCTGGGAATTCATTTTTCTGACCTTCAATTTCTTCACCAATGAAATGAAGATAAATATAATAACATCTGCTTCAAATGTTTATCATGAGGTTTCAATTAGATAACACATGCAAAATGCTTGGCACATTAAAAAATAGCTCAATAAATATTAACTCTCTTTTTTTCTCTTTCCTGCCACTACATTTCTAGTATTAGAAAGAAAGGGAATTATATTGGTACGGGAGGTTGCAAATCAGAGAAACAAAGTTTCTCCAGAATGGGGGCCGTATTTGACTTAGAGCTAAAATTTCAGATGGACTCAATGTGATTCAGTCAGATTTCCTGAGTCTGGAAGTGCTTTGGTTTCATCCTCTGCAAAGTAGAGGTAATAATACCTACTTCTCCAGGTGTCTGTCAGAACTAAATGTGTTCATACACAGAAAGTACTTAGAATAGCATCTGTCAGGAATAAACACGCAATCACTCTCTGCTGTTTAGGGAAGCACAGGCAGGGTCCCCTCTTAGATGCAGGGGACTCAGATGTGATTGAGGTGTGGACCTTGCCTATCGGGAACTTACAAATGGAGGAGGATGAGACAGATAAATCACCAGTTACACTGGGAAAATTGAGAAACCCCAAAGTCACCTGGGGGCCTCACAGGCATTTATATCTTTGCATGCTACTCTTGGGTTGCCTTTCTCTCTCCTTTCTCTCTCCTTACCTCCTGTCTCCTAGATTTCTCCCAGGCTCCAAATTCCCTTCCCTCTGGTATTTATTGTGTTTCCTCTATACCCTAAGTGGCAGCCAATGCTGGGATTTCTGGAGTTGTCTGCTCCAGGTGGGTTAATCAGGGCATTTTCCAACAGAGATGCTAATAAATAAATAAATAAGCTTTTGGAACATGACTCATTCTTAGGTTGGGGATTGCTGGTATACTTTCACAGGCCTCCATACTTAGCTTAGTGAAACCTTTCATACCTTCACCAATCAGAGGCATAATAACATTAAGAATAAATGCATAGCATCTTTCACATTCCTCCAAGATAGGCCTTATCATTCTATATTAACTTTAAAATTAAATTTTATATCAAAGGATAATACATATGCATAGATAAAAATTACATTATTTGAAAAGATTTATTACCAAAAACCCAAACTTGGTCTTACCATCTATCCTCCAGAGGCAGCCAATGCAGTTCTTCCAGTTATGTCTTCTGGAATTTGCCTCTGTATTTCTAAATAATGTGCTTATACAGCTATGCTGCAATTTCTTAGAATCATCTATTCTTTTATAGTAGATGACTATTCCATTTTCTTATAAAAAGTCCACCCCACTTCTCATTTCCTGCATAGTCCCAAAATATATATATAACAATTTTTTGGTTATACTGATATTTGTTCTGATTACATATCTGTCATTGCTGAGTCAAATAGTGTACTATAATTATGCTACCTTTCTTATACAGCTATTTATTTTTAATCTAGAAATAATTCTTTCCTTCATTTCCCCATTTGGCTTTGTTTGTTTATATGACTCCCTTCTCCTTCAGGCTGTGAGAACCTACAGCAGGGACTATGTTGTACACATTTATATTTGTATACCTAGACTAATAAAGTAGTTGGCAATAAAGGTTCTGAGCATAAGCATGGATGATTGGCTAAGTTATCAGTCGACTTGTGTTCCTCAAAGGAGACACTGCTGGCATTTTAGACAAGACACATCTTTGTTGAGAGGGACTATACTATATGCTACAGGAGATTAAGGTTCTTTGGCCCCCGCCCATTAAAGGCCAGCAGCTAACCCTAGTCACTGGGACAATTCACAGCTACTCCTATACATTTCCATACCCCCCTTGTGGTGATGGTACCACTCATGGTTGAGACCAACTGTATCTAGTGCAGTAGGTGTCAGTCTCTAGATATGAGTGTATGTTGGGCTTATGCTGGAAGCAGCTGAAATCCAGCAGTAAGAACAGAATGAGAACTGCTAACTGCTGCACAGATGGGATCCCCTTCCACCTTTGGAAGAGAGGTTCGGGTCTAGAATGTACAAAGGTTTGTTCTGGGCTCCGATCTAGGAAAACAAAACAGCGCCAAGCAAGAAATAGTCACCTTAGCAAGGATATCATGCTATGCGAATTAGAATGTCTTGAGATATCTCCCTTTCCTACATTCTACCTCAGAAAATCCCATTCACTGCCCTTGTGGGGAGCATCTCTATGAACCATATGATGGCCTCTTGAGCTACGTCTGATTGGACCAAAGATACGTACCTAAAATACAAGACGATTCATTGGCCAGCTTGAACCAGCAGGCTAAAGACTGTAGTAAATCAGTGGTGGATCAGAGCTGAAATGTCATAGAGACTTGAGGGGAAGTTTGAACGTGACAAAGGGAAAGCCATAGCACATGTACTTCAAAGTTTTTGGAGAACAGAGAAACCATGATCCAGGAGTGAAAGCCAGCTGTTAAACAAAGGAGCATAACTCAGCTCTGCAGAAAGAAAAAAGGATTCAAGAGCATGTGGCCTCAGAGGGGCAGGGGACAGAGACAGAGACAATAACAATAACAATAGTTGCCTGCCTATTACCCTGGGGTCTATGAGACTCTCTGTTGAATTTCATTTACTCCTCTTCTTTTTTTTTTTTTCTTTTCAGTTTGAGGGTTTCTGACTCATGCAACCAATGGTACACATTGATTATAATTCCATGGTTGGAGCTGCTATCAGAGTCTGGCCTGATGTCAGTTGTTAAAGCCAAGAGTCAAGAACTCAAGAGAGAGAGGAGAAGGAGGTCAGTCGGTCATGGTAAACTTGCTTTGACAATGCCAGAGCAGATCCAGCCCCTTCTTGAAGCTGGGGAGCTCCTATGATGAAAAGAGACAGCTGGGGGATGTGGCCTCTCCCTGTGAGGAATGATGTGGGGGCAGTAACTGCTGGGAGCTTCATTCAGCCTCACACAGGGCATCTGATCCATTTTGTCTTGCTCGACTTGGCTGATAATTTCATCTTTCAGCCAGGAGCAGAAGAGACTTGGGGAACTTCTGTTCTGGACCTAATTCTGATCAACTAGGAAAAATTGCTTGGCAAAATGGATGTGACAGGAACCTCAAGAGAGAAGAACAACATCATTCTGGGGTTTGTGAAAGCTGAAAGGATGGGAGGCTGGGCAGTTAGAATTCTAAGGCAGTGATGTTTATACACTTATTCAGCAAGTTCTTATTCAGCACAGGCTCTGGGCCAGGCAGCGTCCTTAATGCTGGTACTACGACATGAATAAAGCAAAATCCCTACCCTCAGGAGGCTTCTATTTGATGGTAAGCAAACAAAGAACAAAACCATTTCAGATAGTTTTTAAATTCTATGCAAACAATGAAGCAGGGTAATGGGACAGTGAATGGGAATTGGTTGAGTCTAGATCAGGTGGTTTGGAAGTCCTCCCTGGTGTGGGATATTTAGGCTGAAACCCAGGTGACGAGAAAGAACCAGTTATACAAACAGTAAGTTATGGAAGAATCAGCAAATGCAAAAATCAGCTGGGGAGATCTGTCATGGTGTGATCAAAGATCGAAAGCAGCAGAAGCTTTTCCTAAGAGTGATGGTGGCTCTGAGAGATTTGCAGAGGAGTGTTTCCATTACAATACTATTGCATTTGAACTTGGACCATCAACTTGGTGATCTTGGGGAATATTCCAGTATAGAGGATGAAACAGATTGTTCATATGCACTTAGACCAAAATTGATGGTCATTAGCGTCCAGCTTATCACCACAAACAGAATTAGACCCTCTCCACATTTTTTAGAGGGTCAGGTTTAATAGACTAATAGAGCAGCGGGAGGCAGACACAGTGTACTGTGATTTCAGCAGACCATTCGATGAGGTACCTCATGTTTTTATGGACAAATTAGAAAAATAATGGTGGCATTCTGGTTTAGCCAGCTAAATGGTTCCAAAGGAAAAACAAAACAAAACAAAACAAAAAACAGGGTCTTGGAGAAGAGGGTCTAAACTTGATATGTGTTTCTAGAAGATAAAACCAGGACCAAAGGCTGGAAATTATGGGAAAGCAGATTTTAACTCAGTATAAGGCTGACCTTTCTAAGAATAAGAGATGTCCTGAAGCTGCTTTGGAATTAGGACGAAGATGAGTAAAATTGATGCAGCAGATGGTGAATGTTTGGGGGACTGGTCTCATCCACCATGATAATCTAGGATTATAGATTTAGGAGAAATAACTGAACAATTGTTTACGTGCCATTTTCTCTCTGTAGTTTAATAATGATTTCTCTCTATAATAAAGGCTGTGCCAATCACCCAGGTGAGAAACCTCAGCCTCTTCACTTACTCCTCCCTCTCCTCTGGCCCTGACATTCCATCCCTTTGGACTCCTTCTCCTCATTCCCACAACCTTTGCCCTGGTGCAGACTCCCACAGTCTCTGAACTATTGGGGTGGCCTCCCGATTGCCCTCCAGCTTCTGCTCTTTTTTCTCACTGCTTGTGTGTGGCCTGAATAGCACTTTAAAAAACTGATATCACATCAAACCCCTCTAGTAAAACCTCTACTAGTTCTTCTTTTCCCCCAAAAAGTACTACACAATCTTTGGAATGTTTCCAAGGCTCTGACCTCGTTTAATGCACATCTGCCCTGCTCCACCCATGCTGTGAAAGTCCAGCCTCTCAGGCTCTCTCCAATATCACCTCCTCTAAGAAACCTCCTGTTTCCCTAATCAAGGGTAATTCCACTTTCACACTTATTCCCACACAATATTCACCTTAATTAAACAATTCATTCACTCTTTATTTTATTCATATATTGTTTATTCTTTTAAATATCCACTAGTGGTACCAACTATGGGTGATCTCTATGATCGGTGCTGGGGAAAAGTGAGCTAAGGTGAACACTGTTTATGTGGCAGGTATTACAATATATGTTTCATATTCATTATCTCAACCTTCATCCATCTCTTTGAGATAGTTACTATTATTATCCTTATGTTAAAGATAAGGAAACAGAGGTTTATAGAAGTTAACCATCTCACCCAACTAAGTTCATACAATAGGCAAGGGTTTGGGCTTGGATTCATACCCAGGCAGTCTGACGCCAGAGTTCAGATTTCCAATCAGTGCAGCAGCTGTCTCTCACTCCAGATGAAGGGGCATAGACAAAACCTTGCCCTGAAAGAGTTCAGAGATTTTGGTGCTTCTTGCTGCTGAAGGTGTAATTAGTATTCACTTATTTGTGCTTCAGACTATACTTAGCCATTTCCTTATCCATCTTATCCACTGGATTATAAGCTCTTTGAGGACCAAGATGGCAGCATACCATCTCATCCATCCCCACTTCCCAGGCACAGTTATTTTCATTACATTTGCATATTGAGTTAATAAATCATTAAATGTGTCAGACCAACTATGCTGCAAGTTTTCCTTGGTAATAGGATTTAATTATATCCCGCTCTGGGCCCTGCACAATGGGGACATTGACAAGCTGGTGCACATTCACCAAGAAAGTGGAGGGGGCTGTTTTGAATGCTATTTATAAACACTGCCTTCCTTGGCATTTATTTGGAATGTATTAAAATAACCTGTGAATGTGTTAGAAGATCTTTCTGTTCCCTACTTTATAAATGATTGTTTCAGTCTGAACAAAGCAGTTCTTTTTCCTTCGTATGTAGCATAGTGTTTACATCCTGATAATCATATCCTACTAATAATAAGGAAGCACATTACAGCTGTTAAAAATGGCATGAAGAAATAAGTTTGCAAAGTCAAGAGGACAGTAGGCACAGTGGAGTGAAGACACACGCCACTGTGCCCAGTAATTGCTTGTGTTGAGCATTTATTGGGAGCTCGCTATGTGCCTGGCATAGTGTTAAGAGCTTTCCATGTATAAACTCATATCATTACCTATTTTATAGTTATGGGATGCAGAGGCACAGAGTGGCTTAACTACAGGTCTTCACAGGTATTTACCACATTCTATCATTAGTATGCTTGACTTTCCATTGACAGGTTCTTTGGCGGCAAAGATGTTTGGTGCACCTGTATACCTTGGAGCCTGGCAGAGCAGAGAAGAATCTCACTGCACAGGCAGCAGGGCCCCTCTCTTCCTGCTCCCCTGAGAAAAGCTCAGTGAACACAGTGGCCTTGTTCTGCAAGGAAGACCAACACAATATTCGGAGGCTGACCCAGGGGAAGTTCTAAATTAAGCAGAGTATTTCCCCCATAGAATAAAACAAGGTGACGTTGTTGAGTGCAGAACCAAGATGTGGAGTTAGATGGTTGGAATAGTTAATGGCCTCATCCTAAGTGGCCACAATAGGTATGATCTTGCCCATGGGACCAGAATCCTCTAGGCATGTGGTAAGACTTGTTTGAATTTATTGGAAGAGCCACTGCCTCTGGTCCACCTTTTTATCATGCTCCTATTTCCCAAAAAGTCCCCTTTGGTTGCACCATCTCCTTCTTCGGATCTGTTTAGTACTTTTCTCTTTTCCTTTTTGTTTTGATCCCAGACTGGAGTACAGTGACATGATCATGGCTCACTGCAGCCTCGACCTCCCAGGCTAAGTGATCCCCTTGCCTCAGCCACCTGAGTAGCTGGGACCACAGGTGTGTGCCACCACACCTGGCTAATTTTTAACTTTTTTGTGGAGACAGGGTCTCACTATGTTGCCCAGGCTTGTCTCAAATTCCCAGGCTCAAGAGCTCCTCCTGCCTCAGCTTCCCAAAGTGCTGGAATTATAGCCAGGAGCCACCGTACCTAGCCTTTTTAAAACTTTTAATCAAACTCTTGCTCAGCCTGGGCACTTTTCTGTCTCTTTCATGTGAGTTTGCCTATCTCTGCTTTGATCTGTAACATGTTGATTTCACAGTTTTAATCTGCAGAGGGTTACCTCAGTCTCCTTATTTTAAATTGTCTTTTTCCCCCTTCCCTCACCCCTAAGGGTGAACTATATTATTATCCCCATTTTACAGGTGGGAAGGAACAGAGCCAGGTCTTCTGACTTCAAGCCTAGCTTCTCCCCCTGCCTCCAGTATCAGCACCACTTCAACAGTTCAAAGTACTTCCACTGGGGCCATTTCATTGTGCACATATAAATATCTTCAGGCGATGGCATGGCTACCGCTACAGCCTTTATGCAGGGCTGTGAACTGCTAGGTACCCAACCCAGGACTGCTAGGTCCTTCCTACCTCCTGGCTGCTTTGGTTCTTTCCTGCATGTTGAAGCTGAGCAGCCTCTAAGCCAGCCCCTTTCTTTCCTATGCAATGCGCTGATGGGTTTCAACTAGATGCTGGCCCTTCATCATGCAATCTTCCTCTGCTTGGCTCTGAGATTCTCCTCGTTTGGCCACATTTTTTCTCTTGTATACACAGAAGCCTTCTTGTACACCACCCCCAACAGTACTTATAATCACCTCTCCCGAGACCACATCCACACTGTAGTTTCATCTCTAATTCATTGTCTTCCTTTCCATCCCTCTGCCTCCTTCACTTTGCTCCTGCCCTGAGCATGTCTTCCCCTCTCAATGCACACCATTTCTCCACGTATTCCAGGTTGGCTGGAATCCTCTTCCTGCCTAAACAGTATGAACCTTCCTTTTCTCTGCCTGTTATTTACCTCTTGATCTGGGAGCACATCCCATTTATTATTAAATTTCATTTACACAGACCTCAGGCTCCTGTGTGTGATTTCCCGGCTTTCAGCTGATTGGATACCTTTTTTTCTGTCCCCAATTGCAAGCAGACGTTAGTAATCAACACAGAGGTTTTCTGGTAATCAAATTAGACAAGTGGGACTCTGCCTTTATTTTCTTCTTAATCACTGGGCGTGATAGTAATAATGTCAGCTCGAATAATCTGGCAGTGTGAAAATCTCTCCATGTTATTATTATTTTTTTTCCCCAAATCTATCTTAGTATCACCCTGTAGCCAGAGAATGCAAACCATGTTCTCATCCAGACTGGGCTTAGAATCTTTGTTGTGGACAGTGTCAACTGCTTCAAGCCTGGGTGAAGCTCATAATTGGATGGTAGTATATCACACAGGGATTTTTTTTTTTAATCCTTAACCATAGCTGGTAATGAGTTTATGCCCTGCAGCTACAGTCTTGATAGCCCTTGACATTTTCTCTTCCTTCAGGAGAGAGGCTACAGCTGCTGCTTAGCCCTTTGCTGGTGAGTGGACCAGCCTTGGCTGGAGCAGAAGAGCCGACTGCCACTCCTCCAATTCCTTAGGAGACCTGGGCCAAGTCACTTTTCTCAGTTGTAAAATAAGGGCTCTCATCTCTCAACTTACTGTTAAAGGCCAGAATAAGAACTGGCCTTTATGAACAAGGTCTTTGCCCTTTTAACAAAATTGCCATTGAAAGTTTATTCAAATGTTGCTTGGCATGACTGACACTCAAACCAGTGATTCCTTTTTACTAAAAAAAGAGGTCTATGTGACTTACTGTGTTTGTCTCTTGCCCTTGTTGTCTGGAACCTCTGAAATAAGTGTGTGCTCACTTCCAGGGCCCTCACTCAAGAGTATTTCTGACATAATGACCACATTCGACCCCCCACCCTCCGTCTTTATTACCCACCACTTATCTCTTTACCTAAGTCTCAAAAGTTTTATTTTTTGATATGTACCTCCTCAAGTTTTAAATGTAAGGAGATCATCAATAATAAAAGCAAATTTTAATGCCTTTCCCCCCCCCCAAAAAAATAAGGGCTCTCTCTGATCTCTGACTCTCTCCACTGGGTTGCTGAGAGACAATGAGCTCGTGTTTCTGGAGCCTGTAAAGCCACTTACATAAAGATGCCATCTAGACGGTGAAGTGTGTATAGAAATACAGTGATTAGTAGATGGTGAAAATAACAAACGTGAAAGCTTGAAGATGAGGCGAAACTCCTTGGGTCTTTCTGCAGCAGGCACAGAGCTCTGGCTTTCTGATATAACTAAGTTGTCCAGGGGGTAGCTGCAGGCCCTGAAAGGTCACATGTCCACTAAAGTGCCTGGAAAAGGAGAACCAGAAACCAACACAGAATCTGTGCGTACTTAGAACAGCGCTGCGTTGAATTCATGCTGCTGTGGTGGAGTGGAGACTGCACTAGATTTATAAACAAACAAAAAATCAGATATTTCTCACTTGCTGTTGATGTTGGGCAAGTCATTTAATTTAACCCTCATTTTTTTTTTTTCTGTAAAGTGGGTATAATACTACCTCAGAGGTTGTTTCCAGGGTATAAGGAAGAGGAAGGAAAATAATAATAATAATAGTAATAATAATGATAATGATAATAGTGGTTTTTAAACTAGATTTCCAGAAAAAAGGAAAAGCCCTGATGTATTGCATTTGCTGATTTCTATGGTATAAGGACTCACACCATGGCTGATTTCAGGCTACTAATGGTTTAACCACCGACTGGCAAGATTCCTGAATATTTCACAATTGGCTTTTGTGAGCCAGCTCACATAGATACCATGTAGCAAGTGCTTTGTATATTCCGGGCTTCTCATATATTATTTCATTTCAACTTCACTGCTACCCCACCAGGTAGTTTTAATTAACCCCTATTTACAGATGAAGAAATTGAAGTCTGAGATATGAGAAGCAGTTTATATAGGATTTTGCAAACGGTGGAGGTAAATTTGATCTAATTTTAGAATTCATGCTCCTTCCTCCATGCCAAACTAAGTAAGTGTGGAAATACATGACACTAACTCAAAGGATTGTTTCCAGGCAATAAGGAAGAAGAAGTGCAGCATATTCCAAACAGAAGGTAATTACTCTCCTGTCTGAGATGTGGGCAGGCTAGGTTCTCACTCCCAAGTCTCCGGGAGTTTGCCCTGGGCTTTTATAATGGCTTTTCAGAACCATGAAGAATATGAACCAGCCCAGCTTTTTTCTCCTGGTCAACAAACCCTCACGTGGAAGGAGGGTTCCACTTCTGCTTCCACTTCTTTATTGGGAACTCTCACACAGTTTTGTCAGAGAGGTATCGGGCAAAAATATTCCTAGGAGGCCATTAATTAGTCCTGGGAAGTAAGACAAAGCCAGGATTTGGCCAAATTCCAGCAGACTGTGCTGTCCTCCAAAATGGGAAAAAGAACATTCCTTCTGAGATAGTGCTTATTTTTGAACACTGGGGCCTGGCCCAAGTGACTTGCAGAGCAGAACTCCATGGAGAACTCTGTGTCCACTCTCCCTGGTGGCTCTCCCCTTTGCTAGCCCTGCCTTTGGATCCAGCCAGCCACTGACATGTTCCCTCCTATGGAGTCATGATCCCCAACCTCCAATGGGCTTTTAGGACTTCCTAGGAAGCTGTCCATGTGGCCTAGGTTTCCACGAAGCCTCTCCCATTCCCCATAGGGGCTGTCCCCAAATTCTCCCACTCTTCCTGAGACCTTGCTTTCTGCTTTTCCAGGAAAATAGAAGAAGAAACACCCCCAACAACTTCCTTCCATCCTCAATTCTGACTTCATCAGAGTTCTCAGCCTTTCTGCCTAGTTTCCCTCCCAATTCAGGGAAAGAAGTTTCTTTCATCGCGTGTGTATTAGTCTGTTCTCATACTGCTATAGAGAACTGCCAGAGACTGGGTAATTAGTCAAGGAAAGAGCTTTAATTGACCTGCAGTTCCTCAGGAAACTTACAATTGTGGTGGAAGGTGAAGAAGCAGCGAGTGCCTTCTTCACAAGGTGGCAGTAAAGAGAGCTTGAGAAGGAGAAACTGTCAAATACTTATAAAACCATCAGATCTCATAAGAACTCACTCACTATCACAATAACAGCATGGGGAATACCGCCCCCATGATTCAATCACCTCCCTCAACACATGGAGATTACAGGTCCCTCCGTCAACACATCAGGATTACAATTCAAGATGAGATTTGGGTGGGGACACAGTCAAACCATATCATTATGGAAGACCATTTCCTCTACCAGTCCCCACTTGCTGACCCTTCTTCCAGGACCAGCAAGAATCTCACCTTATTTTCTCCTAAATTTCAACTTCTCTCTACCAACTTTTCCTCCTCAACACAGAAGTTTATTCAGGTGTTTTCTCATTAAAAAATCCTTGTTCAAGCTGATATTTCATTCTAGAAACACCCATTTCTATTTTTCCTTCATGGCCAGACTTTGGGCAAGGGTTATCCAGTGTCTCAGGGTTTCAACTCACTGCAGTTGCCTGCAAAGGAATTCATCTGAAATATTCCATTTGAATATTGGCCATTTCCAGACCTGGTGAGCCCTCCCTAAACTCTAGCTGACTTGGCTTATCTGTAGCGATGGACAGTGTTGACTACTCACTCCTTCAAAGTGTCTCCTCAATTGGCCTCAGTGATACTCCTGTGTCCTGATTATCCACTTTTTTCTTGTTTCAGTTTTTCCAAGGGACTGTGAACTCCCCGCTCCCCAGGATTTGAATGTTGATTTCTTTAGAATTGGGTCTCCGGCTTTCTCCTTACTTTCAATCTGCTTTCCTTAGGGATCTCATTCACTCCAATCTATGTGCTGGTAACTCCCAAAATCTCATCTTCAGGCTTGACCATTTCTTCGTGATCCACATGCATATATTTATTTCCTTATGGGACATTTCCATGAACTCTCCAATTTCAACATATCCAAAATGGAACTTCTATTTCTTCCTCCATTGGCTTCTACTCCTGGGCTTCTCATTTTATGGAATGGCTCCACCATCCACTTAGTATCCTGAGTAAGTAACCTGGGTGTTATCCTCAACTCCTACCTTGTCCTTACACCTCACTTTCTGTGATTCTTCAGCTTTGCCACTGAAAAGCTAACCATTGCCCCGCTTTCCACACTGTACATTTTGGAAGGAAGTCTCCATGCCATACGTGTACTTAAGGAGTGAAGAGTTATGCTCCCCATTTTCCTGACTTTTTGTTTTTCTTGAGATAGGTTCTCACTCTGTCACCCAGGCTAGAGCACAGTGGTATAATTCTAGCTCACTGCAGCCTTGACCTCCTGGGCTCAAGCGATCTTCTGCCCCGGTCTCCCCAGTAGCTGCAACTACAGGTGTGCACAAAATGCCTGGCTAATTTTTAAATTTTGTGTAGAGAGTGGGTCTTGCTATGTTGCCAAGGCTGGTCTCACACTCCTGGCTTCAGGTGATCCTCCCACCTTGGCCTCCCAAAGTACTGGAATTACAGACGTGAGCCGCTGCACCTGGCCCTAACTTTTTCAAGTGATGCAAAGAAGTAGGGAACAGGTGGTGGCAATGGTGCCCATGACAGCATCTGGCGTGCAGTGCTGGTGCACAGCACCCCATACCTGGTGTTGGCAGCAGTGCGTTTCATTTCAGGCAGCTCCTATTCCTGAATATCTTGTCTGCTTAGCCGTCCTTGGCTCTTGCCAATTTTCAGAACCAATTCTCTAGCCTTCCCAGTGATTTGTAAACATCCAATGTTTCTTTCTTTAAATACCTTTTCTGCTTAAGTCTGAGTCCATTTCTCTTGCTTGCAGTTGAGAATCCAGACTGAAAAATCTTGTAGATTCAACTTTTAACATATCTCTTGACTCTGACATCTTTTCTCTATTTCTGTGGTGAAGAGACTGCCAACTCCACCCCCAGAATCTATTCCCCTCATATACCTTTGGATAATAGAACCCCCTGAGTTTTAGCTGGGCACGTGGCCACCCTGCCATGGACTACATTTCCTAGACTTTCTTTGAGCTAAGCATGACAGCAGTGATAAGTACAACCACATCTCCTTAAAGCCAAAGCTGCTTGCTGCCCTGGACTTTCTTTCCCCTTTGTTGCCGGCTGGGAAATGGCAACAACTGAAGCAGCAGCCTTGGATCCAGCAATGGCAGCCACATGTTGGGTTTGGCAGAGCAGGCCAGCCAGCTGGATTTCTGGATGATTTTGCAAAGCAGAGATATCTGCCCACCGTCAGCCACCCACCTAGCTTTGGCCAGAATTGTGGGAAAGAAATACACTTATATCTCATTTAAGCCACTGTATTTGGACCTCTTTCTTATAATAGCTTAGCCTGTATCCCAACCAATACCCGATGCTACCTCATTTGTCACACAATTTTATGGAGACTTTGCATCCCTTACTAGAACTACTCAACAGCTTCCTTGATGATCTCGTTAACTCCAGTGTTCCTCCCAACACTAGTCTATCCTCCATGTTGGTGGTCTCCAACATTTTTGGCACCAGGGACCAGTTTTGTGGAAGACAATTTTTCCATGGATAGGGGAGTAGGGAATGGTTTCATCAGGCATTAGATAGATTCTTATATGGAGCAGATAACCCTTGCATGCGCAGTTCATAGTAAGGTTTACACTCCTATGAGAATCTAATGCCACTGTTGATCTGACAGGAGCTGGAGCTTAGGTGGTAATACTCACTCACCTACAGCTCACCTCCTGCTGTGCAGCCCGGTTCCTAACAGACTGTGCACGGGTACTGGTCCATGGCCCCTGGGTTGGGGGCCCCTGCTGTACGTTTCCTGCTGAAGGGATATATCTAAAATTCAAATCCACTTGGAGAAACTTCCCATCATCCTTTAAGACCCAAATTTATTAGAATAAGACATGGGATCTGTATGATCTGCCAATCCTCTGTCTCTACTCCCCCTAGGCACCTATCGTTCAAATCATGCACAGATCACCTTGAGGTTCCCTGGTCATGGACCGCGATGTTCTGACTCCCGTTTCTTTGCTTGAGTGCTCCTTCTGCCCCAAACACTTTTCCCTTTCAACTGCCTCACTAACTCTTGCTTTTCTCCCAGCTCTCAGCTCCAGCTGAGAGTTCTTCTCAAGACATCTTCTCTGGCCCCTCCTCACCCCAGGCTGTGTTTTAGTTCCCTTGTGTGTACTTTCACAGCTCCTTGGGAGTCCCTAATAGCACTCACTAACTTGGTTACAATTTATCAGCCTGCTAGCCTGAGCTGCTCTCAGAGCTTCAGAAAACCAACTGTAGTCACTGTTGGACCATGTTTCTCCCAGCCAGAGGCCATCCTCCAACACAGGAGCAATGCTTCTCCACAAGGACTTTGCCCACAACAAGGGCAGCAGCTCATGCTGACTGCCAAGATCAATCTTACTGTCTGCCCTAGTGACATCCAGATCCCAGTTTTCCCTTTTCTTCTTTCAGAGAGCCCATTCTTCTCAGCTTGCACAACTGATCAGAGGTGGGGTGACTCGCTAAGTTACCAACTCCCAGCCTGAGATTCTACTTGCATCGTGCTCAGCAGTTGCCAGTAGCAGTCTCCAATGTGTAGATGGCAACCAGCATAGATCCTGGGCAGTGATGATGTGCGGTCACCAGCCAGAGAGGCAGGTGCTGGGAGCAAAGGGGAAATAGAGCAGAGCGGGGTGGATGTCCAGCTTAGTCTCTGCAGCTCACAGTGCTAGCCTGTGATTTCACAGTTGGCTCTACAAAACAGGCAGTGGGCCAAATTTGGCCCACGGAATGTAGTTTGTTGGCCCCTGCCCTAGATAATCAACAGAACAATAAATCAAGCCCTGGTTTGTAGTGTTTGCCAATTTCTGTGGTACAAATACTCCCACCATGGCCAATTTCAAGTTGCCAACATGACCCCACTGAATATTGGGCTGGGAAGACACGCAGTAGCACACGATTATGTAATATTTCCACCTTAAAGATACAATACGCGTGACCTCAACATCAGAGCTGACAGTAAAACACAGTGAAATAATAATGATTTTTGAGTATTTATTACTCTTGTTTATAATGATTTACTTACTTGTAAATTTCTATGATTTAGTATTTAATAATAGCTGAAAATTTAACAGTCCTTGGTCCGTAGCACACCACTGCGCTGGGTCTCTCACTACTCCAGCCATATGGGAGGGAATCGAGAAAAGACACCCAAAAGAGAGATCTGACACAGATCTCTTGACATGGAAGCTTTGACATAGAAGGTTTAAACTCTTCTATTCCTTCCACTGAAGACTTTATCTCCTAGGCAATGTCCAATTGGGATCTTAGTCTCACAAAGATGAGATATTTTTCCTTCGGGACAGAGTGAAAGGGGTTTTTGAGCACCCCCTAGTGGTTACAGTGTGTCACCAATATGAACTCCACATATTCTGTGTTCTTTTGCGTTCTACTCCCATTAGGTGCTGTTGGCCGTGTACCTACTGTGTGCCAGGTACTTTTTTGGAAACATTCTATACGTTTTATTGCCTAATATTTACAGCAAACTTGCAAGTCAACATTCTTGTGTAAATTTTACAGATAAAGAAACTAAGGCTCAGAGAGGTTAAGCAACTAGCCCAAAGGCCACACAGCTAGGTCACATCAGACATAGCATTCAAATCCTAGAAGTGGCTGCCTCCCAAGCTTTGTACTGTCTTTTGCTCCTCTTTGACATCTTTTTTTTTTAACTTTTATTTTAGGTTCAGGGGTACATGTACAAGTTTGTCATGTCATGTGGGTTTGTTGTACAGATTATGTCATCACCAGGTATTAAGCCTAGTAACCATTAGCTATTTTTCCTGATCTTCTCCCTTCTCTTACCCTTTGCCCTCTGACAGGTCCCAATGTGTGTTGTTCCCCTTGATGTGTCCATGTGTTTTCATCATTTAGCTCCTACTTATAAGTGAGAACATGTGGTTTTCGGTTTTCTGTTCCTCTGTTAGTTTGCTAAGGATAATGGCCTCTAGCTCCATCCATGGCCCTGAAAAGGACATGATCTCGTTCTTTTCATGGCTGCATAGTATTCCATGGTATATATGGACCACATTTTCTTTATCCAGTCTATCATTGGTGGGCACTGGAAGACAACCTAGGCAATACCATTCACGACATAGGCACGGGCAAACACTTCATGATGAAGATGCCGAAAGCAATTGCAACAAAAGCAAAAATGTGACAAATGGGATCTAATTAAACTAAAGAGCTTCCGCACAGCAAAAGAAACTATTAACAGGGTAAACACACAACCTACAGAGTGAGAGAAACTATGGATCCTTTGACACCTTTAATTCCAGTACACAGCCACCTCAGAAACAGAGGGGAGACTGATGTGGCAGGCACACTGGATGTCACGGCCTTTGCTTCCCTTCTCTGTTTCTCAGTTAAGTGGACAGTGGTTCTGGAGAACTCAGGCATGGGAAATACATGTTACAGAAGGTCATTTACAGAAACAAATGAAACCCTCACATTTCAAAGGTTCAGGAGTAAACTGGACAAGCAGACAAATCCAGTATGGCAGAGACAGGCCTTGCAGCCTCTAGGAGCTGTGTGTTGATCACCGTGCTATAATGCACATCTCTTGTCTCATAGTTGCCCAGTTGAGGTGGACTTTGACTTATGACATGGTTCTGCCACCCCATCCCACTTCATGGGCAAGTTAGGGAATATCCCTGATACCTTAGCCTCGTCAGATAGGAAAGCTTTCCAGAATAGACTAAAGGTGGAGGGGGTAGTGTATCAGTTCCTTATTGCTGCTGTACCAAATTACCATAAGCTTTGTGGCTTAAAACAGCACAGATTTATTATCTTATAGTTCTATAGGTCAGAAGTCCAACCCAGGTCTCACTGGGCTCAAAGTAGGGTGTCAGTAGGGCTGTACTTCTTGGTGGAGGCTTTAGAGGAACATCCGTCTCCCCGCCTTTTCCAGCTTCCAGAGACCACCCGTATTCTTCAACTCGTGTGCCGCTTTTTCCACCTTCATAGAAACATTGCCTCTCTCTGACTCTGCCTCCATAGTGGCAGCTCGCTCTCTGACTCAGCTGGGAAATGTTCTCCACTTTTAAGGACTCCATGTGATCAGATTGGGCACGCCCAGATAATCCAGTATAATCTCCCAATTTCAAGGTTTGTACCCTTAATCACATCTGCAAAGTCTCTTTTGCCCTGTAAGGATTTGGGGATTAGGGCATGGACATCTCTGGGGGTCCAATTTGCTCCATACCATAGAGGTTAAAGCAAACAACAGAACAACAGCTAGAGAGCACTGGATGTTCAAACCAGGGAAGCTAACATTCACCCTCAAGGGACTAGAAGTGGGAGACAGACTTAAGAAATGTGTACATTGGGAAGACAAAGGAGTAGACCAAAGAGCAAGGACAGAGCCAAGACCAGACAGAGAGGGTCTGCAATAGTTGGAGGACAAGCAGGGAATGGTGGAGTCTAACTTGTATGTTTACTGAGTACTGACTGGGCCAGCCTTGACTCCGTGGGTAATGGGAGATAATATCTTACCATTTTTTTTAACCTAACAGTTTTAAATAGGGGTAAGACCTGATCAAATCTGTATTGCAGAAAGAAAAGTCTGATGGCAAGACTAGGGGGTAGATTGGAGGTGCCAACCCTGAAAGCAGAGAGACCAGTTACAAGAAAAGAGGTGATGAGAGATTTACCCAGGACTGTGGCAAGAGAATGAAGACACGAGACACTTCCTGGGAAGTCAGGTGATGGTGCAGAGGATGCAAAGCAGTCGGTCAAACTGGGGGCCCATTGCTCCTGAGTCCTTCCTCCCTTTCCCTCTTGTCATCCCTTGTCGCTTGATCATATTTTTTATAGACTCCTTTTATTTTGACTCCACCCTCAAAGAGATGGGCACACTCAGGATTAGATGTTCATTCCATATACATTCACCCTCACCAGTATCTACCTCAAACACTTGACTCCAGCCTCTGCTGACCCAGCTCCATCCAGCTGGTATCTCCTTGTACTTCCAGACACTAGATGGGGAGGGAGGTAGGTTGAATCTTCAGTGAGGCTTCGCTGCACTCTCTGATCCTGGGTCTAGTGACTGGGACCTCCCTGCTGGGGCCCTTGAATGCTTCTCAATGATCTTTTGCTGTTCATAGGGGATGCCCTTGGAGCACCTTCCCAGGCACACATAATCTGTCTTTTCCCAACCATAGGACTGGCCTTCTGTCTTGGGTCCCACTTTCTGTGCGTTTCCTGCCTTCAGAGGGTTGGGGTGCAGCTTCCCACACCTGGATTTCCCAATAGTCATCAAGTGTTCCTCACTCCAGGGCAGTAGTTCTTGAAGGGTTGTCTGTGCACCTCTGCAGGGTCACTGAGATCTTTTCAGGGAACCCTCAGAGTCAAAACTATTTTCACAATAGTACTTAGATATCATTTGCCTTTTTCCGTTCTCATTCTCTCATATAGTAAAGTTTTCCAGAGGGTATTAAAATAAAATGTGTCAACACCTGGAGGATCTCTGTAAATCCTGGAGTCGGGACTTTCCAAATGACCAATGCGTGATATTACAAAACACGCATGTGCAAGGCCAGGTGCGGCGGCTCACGCCTGTAATCCCAGCATTTTCAGAGGCCAAGGCGGGCAGATAGCTTGACTCCAGGAGTTCAGCACCAGCCTGGGCAACATGGCCAAAAACCTGTCTCTACAAAAAATACAAAAATTAGCCAGGCATGGTTGCACACGCCTGTAGTCCCAGCTACTAGGGAGGCTGAGGCAGGAGGATCACCTGAGCTCGGGAGGCAGAGGTTGCAGTGAGCTGAGATGGCACCACTGCACTCCAGCCTGAGTGACACAGTAAGGCCCTGTCTCAAACAAAAACAAAAACAAAAACCAACCAGTCAAACAAACCCAAAACATGCATGTGTAAAAGAACCATTCAAAACACAAGATAGACCAACAAATTTTAATGTTACTGAGTATGAAAAGTTTGTTGATAGGTATTCAGATGTCACATTGCAACTAATTTCTTTTTTTTTTTTTTTTTGAGACGGAGTTTCGCTCTGTCGCCCAGGCTGGAGTGCAGTGGCATGATCTCAGCTCACTGCAAGCTCCACCTCCCAGGTTCACGCCATTCTCCTGCCTCAGCCTCCCGAGTGGCTGGGACTACAAGCGCCCGCCACCACGCCTGGCTAATTTTTTTGTATTTTTAGTAGAGACGGGGTTTCACAGTGGTCTGCATCTCCTGACCTCGTGATCCACCCACCTCAGCCTCCCAAAGTGCTGGGATTACAGGCGTGAGCCACCCCGCCCCGCCACATTGCAACAAATTTTTAGGAAGCTACCACACGCTGAGTTTTGGTATGAAGAACAACCACAATTATCTGCAAAAAGCAGATAACTACCTATCTGTGTGAAGTTGGATTTTCTTTACATACTTCAAATGAAACAATGTATTGCAACAGATTGACAGAAGAAACAGATGAGGAAATCCAGCTCTTGATGTGCACAAAGGTAAAACAACGCCATTCTTCTAATTTTTTTTTGTTTCAGAAAACATAGTTTGTTAAAATAAAAGTATGTTATTTGTGTTAACGGATATTATTTTAAAATACATTAACAAATATTTAAAACATTTTCAGTTTTAATTCCCTATGCAGTATTGATAGGGCAGTTGGGGTTCAGCTGCCCACAGCTGGTCATTCACATACACAAAACTCTTTGAGGGTGTCAATAATTTGTATTAGTTGTTAAAAGGGTCCTGAGACCAAAAAATTTGAGAACCACAATTCCAGAGTCTCAGCTGGTGACTGGATTCCCTGCTGTGGAGCTTGGCCGAACAGATGAGATTCTTCCATTCTGGGATTATAACTGGGTCATCTTGTCTTCTGAGATACTGACAATCCCTAGTCCTATTGTCTTTCAAAGCTGTCCTGGCTGCACACACCTGACTGATTCCTAGCTCAAGGTGACTTTGGGCAAATGAACCTCAGTTTCTCTGAGCCTCAGTTTCCCTGTTTAGAAAATGTGGGTTTAATACTTAGGAAGCTGTTCTCCTGCCGCAGTTAGGAGGGGTAACTCTGGCTCCATTTTCTAATCAGTAAGCTCATTCTGTCCAAGAAACCCATTATGTCTTACAATCAGTTGCTGTCTTGCAATCACGGAAATGACATATTTGATGCCCTACAGCAGTGGTCTCCAACATTTTTGGCACCAGGGACCAGTTTCACGGAAGACAATTTTTCAGTGGGGTTTGGGGGATGATCTTGGGATGAAACCTTTCCACCTCACACCATCGGGCATTAATAAGATTCTCATAATGAGCAGGCAACGTAGATCCCTCGCATGTGCAGTTCGCACTCCTATGAGAATGTACTGCTGCTGCCCATCTGACAGGAGGTGGAGCTCAGGCGGTAATGCTTGCTTGCTTGCCACTCACCTCCTGCTGTACAGCCCAGTTCCTAACAGGCTGTGGACTGGTACCGGTCCGTGGCCTGGGGGTCAGGGACCCCCGCCCTACAGAGCATCCAGAGTAATTTTCTATCCTTGTGGAAACTGAGAGCAAGAAAGAAGGAAGTCCAGCACTTTTATTGTTTGCTGCTGTGTTGGCGACTGGCACAGAGACACTGAGCACGTAGATGTCGGGTAGATGTCACATGAGTCTTGGTGCCCTTTAAACTATGGTTAGAGCCCTCTGGCACTTTATATGAGGGCAGTTCTGCGGGAGAAAGCCTGGGATCCAGGCAGTTGATGAGGGCCACTGAAATACACAGGAAGGCGGCCCTAGAATGTCAACCTCTGAGGACAGGGACCTGCTGTTCTGGTTCACCTTTGAATCCCCAGTATCCAGAATGGTGCTTGGTACACAACAGGCACTCAAGAAATGCATATTGAATGAATACGTGTAAAATGTAAGTGCCTAGAGAAAAAGCCAGGAGGTGAATATAACACACATGTTTTGGCAATGGGGCCTTGATTTTCTTTTTTTCTCTGTCTTTGGATTTTCTCAGTTTCTATAATAAGCAGGTATTATAGTCACAATGCAGACAAGTGAAATACGCTTCTAAAAAAGCTGCAGTTCAAATGTGACCTGGCCACTTGCTGGCTGTGTGACCTTGGGTAAGTCACTTCTGTCTGCATCTGTTTCCCTGTCTGTAATAATACCTACCTGATTTGGTTGTTGCGAGGATTAAATCACACCAGTGCTAGGGACATAAAAAGGACTCAATGTCGACTATTCTTTTGTTGTTTGCATACTAATCATGTTTTGATATTTTAGTGGATACCTCAAGACTCGACCTGAAGGCTTCAAGGAAAGTGACAGTTATGGGATGGAAAAAAATCGGGGTTGGAACTGGTTGACCTGCCACTTACGGGCCAAGTGACCTCATGCAGGGTCACAGTCTTCTCTGTGCCACTGTCCTTTTTGCCCCACAGAGACTTTTCTGTGAATCTAAATGAGGTGATGATGTAAGGTGCCCTCCAGGTGTGAGTCATTATTTTTATTACCTAGAAGGTTAAAAAAAAAGAATAGGACTCTCCAGGCCTTTCTCCTGTCCCTAATGGGGTTACTGCCCTCCTTTGGTTTGAACAGAGAGTTCCTTGTCCCTGAAAGTCCCCAGGGCCTGGTCACGGGGCAGTGCCCACAGCCAAGGGTGGCTTTTCTGCCAGGGCTTGCGAGGCTCCTGCCTCCAGATAACTCTGGGTCTCCCCGTCTCCTGCCCCAGTGCTTCCCACACAGCTGCGGCCTCATTATCCAGGGTGACAGTGAGCAGCTGAAAGGAGCTTAGCCAGGGGTAAGCTTTCAAGTGTTCATAATAAAGCTTCAAAGTTCACACCTTCATTAAGATGTGAAGAGGCAGGTCCTCCCCCACTTCTCCTGGGGCTATTGTTGCTTCCCCATCTGGCTGCAGATTCAAAAGACAAGTGGGATTGGTTTTCTTTGTCCAGACAGCTCTCCTAACCAGAAAGGCTAGACCTGTTTGTTAAGAAAGCTTCTATCCTGCAGCTCCTTCAGACCTGCTGTGAAGGTGTCACAGACGCTGGGGAATTGGGGCATTTCTCAGGGTTGGAAGGGCTGTCTCTGAGAGGCAAGACTGGGCTTGTTCAGTGGGGTCTCAAGGGAGTAGACCTGGGGCTAAGGAGGTGGAAGGAAAGGCAGGTCAGTTTTAGACTACCAGAAGGAAGAGCTCCCGAACAGGCGGGGATGTGCAAAGGCAGACCTTGGTGCTTGGGGCCGTCATGTGCTCCCTGTCAGTGAGGCCTGTGTGCTGCAGAAGACACCCGAGCTGTGGACGTGATGTTGGACAGGCAGATATTTCAGGCCCCTTCCAGCCCTGTCACGCTGGGTTCTCTTAAATCCATGACCCATGCTTCTGCGTAATCATCTACAATTTAGTTTTTTTTCCTTTGAATTGCTTTTGTCCCCCAGACAGTCTTCATGGGTGAACGTTTGGCCCCCCCCCTTGCCTTTTCTGTTTTTTTTTTTTTTTTTTGAGACAAAGTGCAGCGGTGCCATCTCGGCTCACTGCAACTTCCACCTCTTGATGAGGCTCAAGTGATTCTCCCGGCCTCATCCTTCCCAGTAGCTGGGACTACAGGCTTGTGCCACCACGCCTGGCTAATTTTTGTATTTTTAGTAGAGATGGGGTGTCGCCATGTTGTCCAGCCAGTCTCGACTCTTGGCCTCAAACAATCCGTCTGCCTATGCCTCCCAAAGTTCTGGGATTACAGGTGTGAGCCACTAAGCCCAGCCACCTTTTCTGTTTTCTTTTATTCATTTGAGAGTAAAGCTATCCAGACATCTTGGAGCATCCTTTGATACTGAGAAATTGTTTGCTTGCACTGGCTAAACGTGCAGGTTCTAAGGGACCCCTTTCCTCTACACTCCCTGCTCCAGGACAGGGCAGAACTCTCAGAAGTCCCAGTCACCAGCTGAAGCTGAGACAGTACGAATGTGTTCTCATAGGTAGGAGACAGCCTCAAAAAGAGGCCTCTCTTCTGTCTCCTAAGAAAGGATACAGAGGGAATTTTCTGTGAGGGTGCACACCCTTCCGATGGTCCTCTTGTTTTAATGATGAGCCGTGAAGCAGGAGGGTAGTTTTTAGGTGAGACAACAGGTGAATTGGAATGAGTGATTGCAGATGAGCAAGTTTCATGGCACATTTTTTTTTTTCTATTGAACAGAAAGAGGAGGCTGAAAAGGAAAACCCGTGGTGTACTGCAAAAATAGTGGGCTTTGCAAACAGGCCTGGGTTTGGGTCACGGCTCTGCCACTTAATAGTTGGGGGCTTTGGGTGTGGCACCTCCATGCTCTGAGCCTCAGTTTCTTCCAGTTTCACAGGGCAAACAATACCCACTCTGCTGGGTGCTTGTAAGGTTGGATGTGAAATACCCATGGAAAACTTTGGAGGCCCTTATTAAGTGTAAATTCCCTCTCCCCTATCATTATATTCAATAGTCGCTCTTTGGAAAATTGAGTTATTGATTGGTCTCTTGATAAAAGATTATTCTATAGTATAATTATTTCTATTTTTAACTGTTCATGAATATGATTGAGACTGTTTCTTTGTCTTTTAGGTATCTTTCCTGCAGACATATTGATGTGTACTGCATTGTGTGAACAAGGAAGTTGGTTGTAGCAGTGTTTGTAGTAGCCAAAAATAAGAGCTGGCCTATCTATTCCTTCCACACTGCATTAAAGAAAGTTCGATTGCATCTGTACCAAGAAGTACCAGGCAGCCACTAAAAAGAACATAGTTCTAGGTGAACTGAGAAGCAAAGATCCATAAAGTGTATTGCTAAGAGTAAGTTGCAGCACAAGACATAGTGTGACACCATTCTTTCAAAGGGAATTTGTATGTATCTCTCTACAAAGTACGTATCAGTGCAAAGAAAGGGTCTTCAAGGAAACATTAGATAGTAGTGTCTGGTGGGGATGTGGAGTGGCGTTGGCATGTGTGAAAAGGGGAAGGAATTTTGTTACTCTGTATACAACTGGGTTGGAATATTTTACAATGAGAATGTATTCACATCTTACTAGAGTCATATTTTAAAAGATAAATAAAGATTGTACCTTTTGCTGCCACTCAAAAGGTTCCACCCATACTAGTGAAAAGCAGTTCTTTCGATCAAATTAAGCAAACAGCTCTTTTCCTTCCCTTTCAAGGAGTCAAGATTGCCAGGATGAGGGGCTCAGAGGGAAGCCATCTACTGGTATAGGGAGCTGGGCTGTGTGGAGTGAGATGGACAGAATTTAGGACACTGCCACGCTAGACAAATGTGGGAAGAACACTTCTTCATTCATTCTTTCATGCAATAGATACTTATTCAGGGCCTGCGACCTATTAGGCACTGTTCTAGGTGCTGAGGATAACAGGACAGAAGCAAGTCCTTGTCCTAACAAAAGTTGCATTTCATTGGGGGAGTTAGATATGAAACTAACACATGCAAACATGACGTCAATGTTCTGCAAAGACAAATAAAATAGGATAATGGGATGAAGAGGGAAGGAGTTGAGGTGCGGATGGGGCTGGCATGCTGGGAAGCAGGGCTTTGAAATAACATAGTTGGGGAGACCTTTCTGAAGAGGCTGAGTGAAGACCTGCATGATATAAAATAAGGGAGTGGCTCCCACATCAAAGCAGAAGCCTTGGAGTGGGACAAGCATGGTGTGGTCATGAAACTGCAAGAAGCTTCTGAACAGCGGAAGGCAGGTCACCGGGCAGGGGCCTTTTAGGGCATAGCAGGGACTTGAGATTATTTTGCACACACAGTGAGAAGCCATTGGAGGGTTTTGAGGGAAGGATGCTGTGATGGCTACATTTTGGAAAAGGCCATTCTGACTGCTTTGAGGGAAAAGAGGCTGTGGGAATGCGGCATCGTAAGTCCCCAAACTAGCTGCATAGCTATTGCAATTTTCCAAGAGAGCCATGATGATGGCTTGGGCTGCAGTGATCGTGGGGGAGGTGGAGAGAAATGGTTGGAAGCATGGTGTATGTAGAAGGTAGAGCTAACAGGATTTTTTCTGCAGGTTATGGGAGAAAGAGAGGAGTTGAGGATGACATGTCTGGGAAACTCCAGGCAAATGTGCACTTTCATGATCAGAAGAACATTGTTAATAACAAGCCCTCCAGGGAAGCTTTACAATTTTCTGTGAGGTTTAACATCCATTTTCTGACTTTATCTTCTAAGGTTAAACAAAAAACCTGTTGTTCCTATTTGACAGAGGAAGACATTGAGGCTTCAACAGGAGATGTGACTTGTCGAAGGTCCAGACCTGCAGCCTAGAGGAACCATGTTTTGATCCTCTGAAGTCCTGTGCTCAGGATGAGTTCTGTCCATGGTCTTCACCAGGGATGGCTTCTACGTTAGCAAGTTGTGTGAAGTGGCCTCCAGGAGGCTCTCTATGGAAGATATCTGTGAGCCACGTGAGTGAAGGAGGAGGTGGCGGTGAAGGAGGAAGGCGCTTTGCAGCACATGAGATTTCAGCACCCATTGTTAGGTTCCTTTCAAATGATGGTGAAAAACAGCTCATGCTACAGCAGCCTGGCTGGGCCATCAGAAACAGGTAGTGGCTGCTGAAATCTCCACAGGATAAGGCAGACAGTGACTCCCTGCAACCCCCAGCACCACAGTGCCAGCCACAGTGGGTTGCTTTTTAGAGAGCTGACCCAAGTAACCTTAAGCCAGTCTTCCTGAAAGGTCAGCTCCTTCCATTGCCTCCTTTTCCTTATCTCCTCTTCATTCCTGAACCCACTGCCTCCTGGCTCCTGCCTCAGTTATTCCAACAAAAAAATTCTGACTCTCTCCTAGCCCAAACCAGTGAGACTTCTTCTCTCTCCTTACCTGCCTACCTCCCTGCAGTATTTGATGCTAGTCATCCTCCCTCCTTCTTGTCACTGTCTCCTTCCTTGGGCTCTGTGCTGCTTCCTGCTTCTATTTCTCCTCCCACACCAATGTCTTTGTGTTCTTCCTCTGCCTTGGAGCCTCCTTCTTCCACTCACAGTGCCTCCTCATACACCAGTCTACCCGAGATTTCCCTCCCTCCCCCTTCCCTGACTTCCTCGAGGCTCCTCTTCCCTTCTCTTCCCCACCTGTACTGCCCACTGAGCTCACCAGCTCTATGCTTTCAGCTCTTCCTTTTATAGAGATATTCCCAATCTATGTCTCCAGCTCTGAGTTTGTGAGCTTCCTTATCTCCATTTGCTGCCTGGACCTCCGAACTCCCAGGCAGAGATAAAAGTCTCGAAAGCAGCTGGGGTACCCAGGAAATGAGTGGAGAAGAGGTCTGTTTGACCTGGACTGGGGGTAAATAAGACTAGAAAGGGTAGGTTGAGACCAGATTGTTAGGGGTCCTGAAAGCTATGGTAAAAGAATTCCATGCATCTTGAATGCAGGATAACAAACAGAAGTTTCTAGGCCCAGAGAAATGGAATGATTGTGTTTTGGAAGGATTGCTCAGCAGCCTTGTGGCAGGTGGACTAGACTGGATTTTACTGGTTCAAGAGAGAAGGGGAGGAAGCCTGAGGAGTGACTAGTTTAGGAAGACATAAACAAACAAAGAAGCCAACTTCTGAGTATAGAGGGTAGGATTTGAGTGAGAATGGAAGAAAATGGTGAGAAGGGAGGAAGGTTTCAAGCTTGTCTTATAGCAGACTCGGTCACAGCTGTGCTGTCTCTCTCCCCAAGGTAGGATGTATTATATATCTTGCTTAGGTTTTTCTTCCTAAAGCCTAGCCTGGTGCTAATTTTTATGGTTCTATGAACGAGACAAAATATTTTTCTGTGTGAGACCAAATAGACTCATTAATGCTTTGCTCTGACCAACTGGGCAAATCCGCATGCTTTTCATTGCTTCTGACAGCGTCAGGTTATTGGTTTGTTTACAGGCCAGCCCAGGGCTTTATATAGTCTACATCACACTCAAACTCACATAATTGTATTTGATTCTTACAGTCAAGCAGTCAAGCAGATATTGCAGTTGCCATTTTGCAGATGAGGAAAATGAAGGTCAGAGAGAAGTGACATGCCTGGGGTCACACAGTCATCAGTAGCAGAGTCTTTTGAACCCTATCTTTTGACTCTTTGACCAGTGCTTCCATCAAGCCATGGTAACTGACTGATTAAACCCATCAGGGTGTCTGAAATCTTCAGCACTAAAGGCATAGAAGCTTTGTAGTAGACATGAGCTGTTTTGCCTGTTCAGTTTACAAATGTCTTTTTTTTTTTAATTTGTTCCTTATTAGTGAAGATAATGTTAGCTGCTATAACAAATTCGCAAAATGTATAATGTTTTCAACATGATAGAATATTCACAATGGATGTTTGGTGGGCAGTTTTCCTCCATGTGGTAAAGATTTAGGGACCTAGACTTCTTTTCGATTTTGTGTTTCTGCTATCTTTCATTCACAGCTTGCAAAGTTTGATGGGCCTAGAGGCAATACATATTACTTTTCCTCACTTTCCACTCATTGGACCCCAGTTACATGGTCACACGTGTCAAGAGGCTAGGAACTATCATTAGAATGTGTAATTAGGGAGAAGAGAAACAGACTTGGGAAAGAGTGAGCCATTCATCACCATAGGTGAGCTGCTACTCTCTGTAGCTCAGCCCACCAGCCCAGTTGGAGTTGCCTGACTCCTACCCTCCACCCCTCATCTAAGATGTGGGATGACACAGCCCTGGCCCATCAGCTTATTTCATGCCCTGCATGTGGTGATTGGTTCAGGTTCTGACACATGACCTAGGCTGGTTCAATGAGACTCAATCCGAGGACTTCATTGAAACTTTTGGCAAAGAGAAGCTCTCTTTCCACCAAGCTTGCTGAGCTGTAGAGTTATGAACCAGTGAGCCGCCATTTTGTCAGCATGATAGGAGAAGTGGCTTGAGAATGAAGGTGACAAGTAAGAAAGCAGAGCTGAGAGATACAGATACATTGCAACGATATCCTTTGAGTATCTATATTCACGCATGTCTGATCAGTCCTACCTCAGAATTTTTCAGCTAAGATAACGAGTGGATCATTTAAAAAGGATTCTTTTTCTTGAGCCTAGTTTAAATTGAGATTCTGTTACTTATAAAGCAAGAAGCCTAATAGAGGCTCATAGAGGCCCATTTGTAAAACTCTTGGACAACCTTCCATCTCTTCCCTCTAACCTCAAACCCAAGGGCTCTCTCCTCACCCTGCTCTCCTCTGTTAGAACACTCTGTCTGCTGCTGAGTGAATGGGCCCTCTGAGATGGGCCTGCCTTTGAGTTATCCCATCTCCATATGGCTGGACTACTCATTTTCTTACTTGTCTTTAAACAACCATGGGAAATGCTTTGAATCAAATACACCATTTGTTGTCTTCCTAAAGAGGTCAGAATTATTTAGAATCACATTTTTTTAATACCCTACTGAAATTATAGCAGAAAAACACTTATAAAAGGATGCAAACTCAGTAGAGGGTGTTGGTTTTACATTGGTTTCCCATATGAATGTACCAGTTTTGAATCCTGTAAGGAAAAACTCATCTAAAAATCAATTACACAAGAGTGTTTTAAAGGTCAGAGCATGGCGTCCATTCACAAAGTTTTCACTAGTACAAAAACATGGCAAAAATCTGGTAGAGTTTAGTGGACATGTAGCATCACATTCATGAAAACACACACTTTAAGATATTGAGAGAGACAGTAACATTACTATTAAGGAAGTTCAAAGAAAATGTATTGAAGTCCTAGGGCCATTGGAAGTTCTGTTGAAGAGGTGGCAGGAGCTAGGAGACTGCTCAGTTTTGGTTTTCACTGCTGGGGAGGACTGTAGGAACCCAGAGAGACTTTAGAAACCAATGCTTCACCCTCTTTCACAGTAAGCTCCAGCCACACTGCAGGTGGAACAGATCCTCACACATCTCACACTCTCAAGCTTCCTGAACCCTGCACATGTAAGGTACTTCTCACACTTCTTCACTTAGAAAATGTTATTTGAGTTGTCTCAAACATGACCACTTCAGTGATACTTTCTAGAGAAGAGTTAATCACCCTCTTTTCTGTGTTCCATAGTGCTTGCACACACTTCCATGTCGGAATTGATAACATTGTCTATTTTTGTTAATGGCTTCCTCATTTGTCTCCCTGGCTTAACTGTGAGTTTTTTTGAAAGCAGAGACTATGGCTCACCCATCTTTGTAGTTCCAGTAAATTTAGGCTAGAGCTTGGCATATACTCAATGTGTAAAAATGTAAAATAAATAGAAAAAAGCCACAAATCTTATAAAATTACACATGAAGATTTATGGGAGAGAGAAAGAAGTTTGCTTAGCTCCTAGAAGAACACTAATAACAGAATGGTCATTCAAAGAGATGGTGCTAAATGTTGTTCTGGACAGGTCAAATAAACTTTGTGCATACTGCAGTCTGTGTCTGACTTAATTGTTTTTTTCTCAGTCACATGGGAATAACTGCAACAGCTCTAATGAGTACTTTGAAATGAAGTGACCTGATTTCCCCACTTGCTTTATATAGACTGGTCCTTACTTGGTTAATACTAGGGTGGCCACTCTGCCTGGAAGAGGTCAAGTTCACACCTGTTGTTCCTGGTAACTATTTACAGTGCCCCAGTTACATCTCAAAAGTGTCTCAATGTGGATGTAAATTCTTTGGCCATTCTATTAGTGGAGAACTCTGTTGGTCTGAGATATCAAAGATAGAATTGGACTAAGAGACAGCTGCTTCTTAGTTGGAGACCTTGACTCTAGCCATTCTCCATGTCTTAACCATCAAGGAGGAAAATGTCACTCCTGGTGCCCTTCTGTGGCTTTCTGCATGGAAAAAATGGGAGTTTACTTTCTTTCTCTGTTAATGTATGGTAAAAATGTAGTTGATGTTCTTTATTATTATTTTAATCTTTAGAACCACCCTGCATAGATATTAGTTAAGTATTTTATAAAGAAGCTGGGGCCCAGAGAACTTCAGTAAATTGCTCAAGAGCACACGGCAAATAAGGATTAGGGTCAAACAATCTCATTTGTCTGACTCCAAGCTCATACTCCTTCTGCTTTGCAGCATTGCTAATAATTTAGCAAACTGCTTTTATACCCAAATTCCCTTATTTTGGAGCTAATTTTCTCCTGTCTAAATTATTAAGTAATGATGTAATTCTCTCCATACCAAAGAAGATCCTGCTTGGCATCTGTTTGTTGTAAAAGATCAGTCTGGTCTGTGAAGTTCAGTCTGTAGATTCATGCGTAGTTTCTGATAGGAAATGAGGATTAGGTTTGTGCGAACAAGTGTCTCTGTTGTAATTAATCCCAGCAATGATCTTTTGACTTAGGAACCATTAATAAATAATTAGAAAGGTATGACTGGAAAACATTTTAATTATTTATACTAGGGACAAACAGGAGAGTTAGAAGTGGGGAAAGGAATTAGATAGCAGAGCTAATAAAACTTTGCCTTGTGATTATTTCAGCATTGAAGATCACAGTATTGATTGCAATAGCAAAAATTTGGAAACCACCTACAATCTGGGCTATGTCCACACAATGAAATACTATGCAGCTGTGTAATAAGCGATTATAGGTACTTATCTATATGGAATGACACATCTAAAACATCAAGTATCTCTGCTGTCAAAATTATGAGGTTTCTTCCCCCCGCTTACGATTTATATGTATTTTCCAAGTTTTTTTATCACTAACATAAATTACGTGTATAATTTTTAAGCTAAACATGAAGGATTTAAGAGAATAGAAAACGCAAATTTCTCTCTGATCACTATCAAAAGGCTGTATGTTATTCAGTATCAACAAAGAAGGAAATCCTGCCACATGCTACAACATGGCTCAATCTTGAGGACATTATGCTAAGTGAAATGGGCCGTCACAGAAGGACAAATACTGTCTAATTGCACTTATATGAGGGATCAAAAATAGTTAAACACATAGAAACAGAGTCAAGTGGTGGTTGCCAAAGACTGGGGCAGGGGAAGATGAGTTTTTGTTTAATGGGTATAAAATTTCAGTTATGCAAGATGATTAAGTTCTAGAGATCTGCAGTATAGCATTGCACCTATAGTTAACGTTGCTGTATTTAAAATTTGTTAAGAGGGTAGATCTGAAGTTAAGTGTTCTTATTACATACAAAGAAAACTTTAAAGGCTGTATGTGTCCTGCAAGGCAATTTCCTGGTGCTGAGTCCTTCACCATTATCTGTAGGGAGTTTCCCTTCTGAGGACGTGGCAATATACGGTTCAGGTACTGAATGCCTTTTGTGTGCTGGAAACTGTGCTACAGGTTTTCCCCTGGGAGACCTTTTTAACTCCTCCTATCAACCCTGTAAAATAGACATTATTATTCCCATTTTGCAGATGAGAAACTGATTTTGAGGGTCCTGAAATTTGTGATGGGGAACCTGGAACGCGTGGCCTCCGAGTCACCACGGTAGGAAAGAGAAAACTGAGGAAGGCACCACAGCCCCAAGCTGCCTCAGCTCAGACTGGGACATGTCACTTCTGTTCACAGTCCATTGGCCAGAACTAAATGCACTTGTCCAAGCAGTCACAAAAAAGGCTGAGAGACCAAGGGGAGCCCACGGACAATCAGTGCCAAGGCGTGTTCCATGGGTGAGTGTTTCCTTCTGTCCTACTTCTGAAGGTATTTTTTGGGAACTAAATTCATGCTCTTTGGTTCTAGGCAAGTAGAATCAGTCCTTCACAGCTTTTATTTTACCCTGCATATGAGGAGAAAATATAAGTGACTTATTCTGATCATTTTACACACTTACATTGCCAGTGGAAAAACTTCAGAATTAAATCAATACCAGTATCACATTTTGGGAAACTAATTAAGTGGATTGAATGTCTCTTGAAAAAAAGAAGTATCCTAATCTGATATGTGTACATATATTTCATGTTTGTATCATATCATAGATAATTAGAACTGAAATTACCCTAGCATTTGTTTGCTTTTGGATTCTCATCTCAGCTTCTTCCACAAGGATTTCAAGCACACCTTAGAAAAAATTACAGAATACTGCAACAATCAGTTCTTCCTGCTTCCTGTCTCCCACCTGCCAATCCATTCTCTACCCTGACACCGAAGAGATCTTTTAAATGCAAATCTGATCAAGCCCCTCGTACTTAAAAATAAAACAGAAACTTTCTAAGACTTTAGTCTGTCCCCTCAAAATCCCTGTTTTGGCCGCACAGCCTAACCTACCGTTCCAGCCTGTGATAGCTGTGTTTTGTGTCAACTCAGCTAAGCTGGACGTGGGCTTTTCAGACTTTCCTTCCCTGTACAATTCTGGGTCAAGGTTGACTGCAGCAGATAAATTTGCTGCAAGGGAGACTAAGGTGGGACTCATAATATTAAAAGATTTCTAATGAAAAGCTATAGGATGAGAGAACATGAGCATGTCAGACGTCCACTATTAGCATGAACAGAGTATGAGCGATGTGCCAGGTGCCAGACCAAAAACCCTTACACGTATTGCAGTGAGCCACTGAGTGAAGCCTTATTGTTATTCCCATTTTACAGATGTGGAAACTGAGATTTTCTCCGTTATCTGAAATCACCCACTATATGAGAGAGTCAGCATTTGAACCTAGACTGTGGGACTCCACAGCCATGCTTTTTGTCTTAATTATGATTGTATGCTACAGAAGATCCAACAGTTTCTGTGAAATTTTAATTCTCTCTGAAAGAGACACAGAAAGAGCCATCTCTTTTTATATGAATATGATAACTGGAATTTCCAGTCGTCTCTTTACTAGCCTGGGATAAAGACAAACCCCAAAGAGGACAGAGATGATAGAAACTCAAACAAATGAATTATAGTCTGACTGTGCTTGCACATGTGGGTGACCAACATTTCTGTGGCACTCTCCAGTTAGCAAGAGCTGTCCTTGAGGTCAAAGGATCCCATTAGCTGTGCCACCATACAGTCAGGATGGGAGAGGTTTTACTGTGGGAACAATGACCCCCTAACTCTTAAAACAAAAGAAGTTCGTTCCTTGCTCATCTGATAGGCCTCTTGTAAGCTGGCTGTGGCTCTGCTGCAAACTGTCTCTACTCCAAGATGATCTGGAGCTTTGCTAGTCCCTGCAGCAGAAGTAATGAGCAAGGCGGAATGTGCTCTGGCTCCTGAAGATCCCGCCTGGCAGTGACATGTCACTTCTGCTTGCATCTCATTGGCCAAAGCAAGACGCATGGCTACATATGAGTCCACGGCATGAGGAAGTATAATTGTCTCTCTGGAAGGGCCACTACTGTGGGTGTGTAGTCAACCAGTTTACCATGGAGATATTGATTCTTTAGCCACGGGGTCGATGAACAGAGGCTGGGTCGTCAGAACTCTCTAGAGGTCATTTTTTGGTCACAAATAATCTTTTATATTTACTCCCAATATTGTCTTTTTCTGCACCATGAAAGAAAATCAACTGGGAATTGTGACTCTGATTGCCTCACCTGCTTCTCATAAGAATTAGAGAACCATGATACCATTGGTTTGAGGCCAAATCTAGTCAGAAATACAAAGACAGAAGCAGAATTTGGGATTTTAGTCCTCATACCCAAGGTTCTGTGGCTTTAATAAGAGATATATGGAGTAGTTGGTGGAATCTGTGGCCTAGACAGCTGGAGCTCCTGGCCCTTTAGTTCACCCATGGCCCCACGCCTCTTCTTCTGGCTCAGGAAGAGCTAACTAGCTGTTGACAGCTTAGTAGTGGCCACAGAGGCTCAGTGATAACCAGGGAGAGTGTTGAGCACATATACACTCCAGACTGTATTTTTTCTTCTTATTAAGGCTCTGAAGACAAGAACATGACAACATTTTGGCAGCTGGGACTGTAGCCATGTGTGAGGAGAAAGTGATTTGCATGAGCAATGCAAAACCACCTGGTTTATTGCAACTGATTCTGAACAAGTTAAATGAATCAAATTCCCAGTTGGATACTGAAGGAGCTAACTTACATACACACACAGCCCCTGCAAAAAGAAAAAAGAAAAAAAAAACCTAAGAAACAGCACTCCAATGTTACACAAACGCACTACTAAGGAACCTTTGCCCTGTTGCTCTTACCACCCCACATCCCATCCCCACCCACCTCCACCCACGCTCCCCTTGTCTCTTTCCTAGCGAGCCTGTGTGAATCCTCTTACCTTGACAGGTTTATGGTTGGGATTTGTCTCTCCAACTCCACCCCTCCACAGATACCCTCCAGAAGCGTGACCCCAGTGGTACAAAAGAGCTGGAGGAGTGGGATTGTTTGTTCACCCACCAGCAATCAGAACTCCCCACAAACCTGCCTAACTGAAGATTCTTGGGTTCTAACCTGGACGCATTACCAAACTCCCTGCTGAGTCTCCCGCATGCTGGTTTCAAAACCGCTGCCTTAGACTCTCAAATGCTGCTTATGGCATCTGTCAGGCCCTCACATCCCCTCCCAGGGCCCTGCTTTCTCCTCCAGGTACTAAAGCAAAGACATATTTCAGTAATGCATGATTCTTTTTTTTTTTTTGCCAGATGAGCCATTATCAGGTTGTGTACAGGCTGGTACAGGCTGGGAAAGATAAGGCGGTGTGTCCGAGTATTGGAAAAGGGGGCACATGGTAGGAGAAGTCATAAAGAAGACAGTGTGGTATAGGGAGAGAGCACTAAGAGACTGAAAACCTGATTTCAAGGCTGACTCCAGCTACTAATCTTGATAATATCGAGTTGACTTGAGCTGTCCCCCTTCACTCATTCATCGAGCCAACATATATTAAGTGCCTACCATTTGCCAGCATGACACTGGCTGCTAAGGGAAAGAGTAGTTGTGGTAGCCAGCTTTCCAGATGGCCCACAGTGATCCCTGTTTCCTGACATTCACATCCATGTGTGATCCCCTCCCACAATGAATGGGGCTGACCTATGTAACCAATAGGATAGTGCAGAAATCATAGTGTGCGACTTCCGTGACTGGGTCATAAATGACACTGTGGTTTCTGCCTTGCTTTCTCTTGCAGTGCTTACTCCAGGAGAAGCCAGCTTCCATGTTGTGCAGATGCTCAAGCAGTGCTTGGAGAGGCTCCTTGTGGAAAGGAGCCGAGGCCTCTGCTGACAACCAGCACCAGGTGAGTGAGCCTTTTTGGATCCTTCCACCCCAGCTGTGCCTTTGGATAACTGCGTCCCAGCTGACATCTTCCTTGATGTTAAGAGACTCCAATCCAAAGCCATCCAGAAAAGCTGCTTCTAAATTCCTGACTCACAGAAACTGTGAGATAATAAATGTTTATTATCATTATTATTATTTTTTGAAATTTTCCAATGAATTTTATTATCACCAGCATCTTTAAAAATTAAGAGGAATTCTCTGAGAGTATATATAAAAAAGAAATTAAAGGCAAATATTTTGCTGTTAAGGATTTAAAAATAAACAGAAACATAGAGTATAAAATTTTCATTTCACTGTCCCCTCATTTAAAATTATAAGAATATAAGCAAATAACATCCAATGTCAGAAGAGATTCAGGGTGACCATTTGCAGTATTTAATGGCAAATTAGTAGCGTCATGAAAAATTTCAATTCATTTAAAAAAATAGCTTTCATTTAAATAATAATTATGTTTAACTTTATCTCTGTATATAATTAGACTTTCTTTTGGCTTAGACAATTCCATTTTCTCCAACTGGGAGCTGTGAAGGATCAAGTCCTACTTTCTTCATTGATACGGCAATATCAAATAAATAGTCATAACACTCACACATGGTTTTGGCCTTCTCTCATGTTTCCCCCCACACATATACTCCATGACGTCTGACCAGTACTGCACAGGAGTCTGGGTATTCATTCATTGCATGAGCCATTCTATCTTTGAAGTCTTTCTCCTCAGGTGTATTCTCAATAATGGGTGCCACTAACATATCATCATATCTATAATACCCTCCAGAAGTACATTTCTTTATTCCTTTGATCATCTCTTGATGGGTAATTTTAAACTCCCATCCTCGAAAGAGAAGGGTGGCCATCACAGCAGCTTTAGAGTGGGTATGAATCACCGCACCTGCTCCTCTCATTGTGTAAGCATTCATGAGAAGAGGAGTACACTGGCTTTATTTTAGCTTCTTAGATGGCGAAGGTCCACTTATGTCCTTTTCATTTATATCACAAACAAACATGTCTTCAGGCTGAATTCGTTCCTTTTGCACTCCTGAAGGAGCAATGTAGATTTCACCGCCATGCCTCAAGCCAATTCCTCCTCCAGTCCCAGTGACCCAGCGCAAATGGTAAAACTGTTTGCAAAGTTCTGGGATCAGGTATCTTGGATGCTCCTTGTCCTGCGCTCCGCATCTCGGGGAACAACAGTCTCCCTCCCGGGCGTCACAGCCAGACATGGCCCAGACCAGGGACCCACACGGCCTCCAATCTCTGCACGGCTTTGCGCGCGGTGCTCAGCCTGGGATGAGGCAGCCAAATGTTTATTATTTTGAGCTATTCTGTATTGGGGTAATTTGTTAAGCAGTAGCAGATAACTAATACAGTAATGAATGAGGCATATAAGATTCCTACTCTACCCTTATGGAGACTATCAGTCTAGCAGTGTAGGAAGGGGAGGAAGGATAGATAAAAATAATTAAATCTAATAAATAAATAAACAAGTATAAATTGTGGTAAGTGCTGTGAAAGAAACAAGCAGGATGCTGAGCTAAGACAAAATATATGCTGGGTAAGCTCATTTAGATAGGGTGGGCAACGGATGCCCCAAGGAACCCCTTAAGCAGACTCTGAAAAGTGAAAGAGCTTGGAGGAGCCACCTGCACCCAGATACAGAAGCTCCCTTCTAAGGATGACAGAGACTGCCTGCCTTCCCTTCACCACTCATCTGTGACTAATTTTCATTATTCACACTATTTTATTTACAATAAAATTTAACAGACCAGAAGGGGTGGCTCACTCCTGTAATTCCAGCACTTTGGGAGGCCAAGATGGGGGGATCACTTGAGGTGGGGAGTTCAAGACCAGCCTGGGCAACATGGTGAGACACCCCACCCCCCTCACCGTCTCCACAAAAAATTAAAAAATTGGCCGGGTCTCATGTCATGCACCTGTTGTCCTAGCTATTCAGGAGGCTGAAGTGGGAGGATCTCTTGAGCCCAGGAGTCCAAGGTTATAGTGAGCTATGTACGGGGAAAAAAAGTCTTTATGGACTGAAATGTAGCAGATATCACCTGTGCATTCTGCTTCATTCCTTTAAGATGTGCTTCATCGTCACTGGAGCTACATACCATCTTCCAGTTTCTAATCCAGTCTCTTCTTGTTACTCTTCATCATGTATGTGAAGTAGGCCAGGGTCTCCTTTTCATTCCCTGGTATGTTCCTGAAGTGTCAGCTGACAGTGTCTGTTAACTGCACCTTATTGAGGCCTGGCCTGGTCTGCAAATTGTGGTGCCATGTATAACAAGGTAGAGAAATAAACTTCTACCTGATATTTGGGAGTCTCTTGATTGTATAGCTTAACTGATTCTCTACCCAACACAGAGGGACCAGTGCCTCCATGTGGGGTCTTGGAGGCCATGGCTTGGGGCTGGCTCTTTATTCTAACATCAGTGGGGAAATCATTGGATGGTTTTAGGCAGCAAAGCAAAGTGATCTCATTTATTCTTTAAAATGTTCACTCTGGTTATTCCCTGGGTTTGTGCTAAGTCTCAGGTTTCTAATTTATAAAACAGGAGTCTGAGACAGAATTTTCCACCCTGCTTATCCCCACAAAAGTCTCTCCTTTCCAGGCTAAACATTCCAGTTCTTTTAACCAACCTTTATGCAGTTTGGCCTCTTCATGATCTTTGTTATTCTCTGCAAAATTGACATGTGGTCATGTCCTCTGGATTTGGGGTACTTCAAACTCCAGCCCAATGCTCTATCCATGGTATGTCCAACATTGGGCAGAGCAAGGCTGCCAGCCCTCTTGTGAGATCATTTTTGACATGTGTTAACATTTCCGATTTCATTGCAAAATCTCTTTGCTGCTAACCCTGAAGGTGAATTGTATGAAATCATTCTTTGCTACTGTGGAACTGTTTCCCTCTATCAGGCATTCTGTCTACAGTTGGCAACATTAGGACAGAAACACCAGGGGTCCATGCATGACATTGCTTCTGAGATGAGCTTGGGCAGGAGATGGCCTAATTGAGATTTAGGTATCACCCTTGTGAGAGTGTCAAGTTCTTTTGAAAAGTGGCTACACTGACAATCTTTACATTTAGAAACACTGAAGACTTAAATCTTAGTTCCAAAGTAAGTCATCTGAGAATGATGCTGCAGATGGGTCTGAAACCTGATGGGTAGTTCTCATACAAAGGATCAGCTCTGCCTGGAGTTCAGATAAAAGATCACACTAGCTAATTTAGATACAAATGATAACTTTCCAACTGGGGTAACAGATAAGTGCTTCCAGAAACAGCTTCTTTAGGCAACGAAGCCACAAATGGCTGCCTTCAGAGAGAAGGGAGAAATGGTAGAAGACAGAGAAGAATTTAGGTCAGCCAGAATGGGGGCCCAAAAAAGTCAAGTTCAGAAATAATTTAGCAGATAGGGATCCAAAGAATATGTGGTTTGCCTGACAAATGACATTCACTTTGAAAGTGAAAATGAAATTGGAGAAAGCAAAATTGCTGCATAATAGGTCCCGGAGATTGAAAAGATTCTAGAGGAGAAAGGAGCTGTAAAGCCTTCCTAGTTAAGCACAGAATTGGAATGTATGAATTTTGGTCCATCAAGAGTCAGGTGAAGATCACACAGATAATGGCTTAATCCCAACCAGCTCCAAAATGACATTCATTAACAGAGCATCTCAAGCTCTTGACAAGCGTGCCTGACCAGGCTCACGCTGCCTTCTCTCAGCATCGCTCATCCTGGGTAGAACTCTCTAACACAATAAGACCACATAATTTTACAGTTAAGCCTAGGAAAGACGGAAAAAGACTTTTACCCTGACTGTCAAGGGGCCCAGAAAGAGCTAAGGAGGTGTAGGATGGGGGAAAGATGGTGTGCGTCGAAACTGAAGAAGCACTCTGGGGCTGGCAGAGTCTCACCCGTGCAAAATAATGATCCTTGGCCACCTCGCAAAAGGCACATGGACTTCTGCCTAGGGACATCTGGGCTTCATTCCTGCTCTAATGAACGACTCTCTGTGAGATTGTTAGACTACTCACTTCATCTCTGTGAGACTCATTTTATTCACTCCCAGGAGAAGTATAATCATATCTATTGACTTCTTTCTACCTCAGAGAGAAAAAGTTTACACAGTGCTTTCATCAGCATTAGCTTCTCATTTAACCCTCACAATAATTCTGTAATGTGGCATGATTGGCTCCATTTGATGGATGAGGAAACTGAGGCTCAGAGGTGTTAAAGGACGTGCCCAAGGTACAGACCCAAGTGGAAGAACCAAGACTGGAACACAAATAACCTGATTTCAAATATAGGTCTCTTTCTTGGACCCCGTGACCATTTATTGAAGGAGAAAGAAAATGAGTGCTTCTTCTGGGATAGAGAATAGTGTGGTAAACAGCATTGGTTTTGGAATAAGCCAACTTGGGTTCAAATCCCAGCTTTGTCATTTTCTAGTGGCATCACTTGGTCACACAAACCTTAGTGTCCTTGTTTGTAAAATGGGGATCAAAATGGTCTGGTCCTTCAGTCATGAGGTTATTGTGGATTGAATGTCTACAGCATGTTTGGTGAATCACAGAGCAAGTGCTCAATGAATGGAAACTTAGTCTCCTAGCCAGCCGGCCATAGGAATGTGCTGCTTGATGGGAGAGTGATTAGGAGGGATGGCTCTGAAGTCAGATAACATGGGTTTGAATTCTAGTTCTGCCATTTATTAAATGAGTGACATTAAGAAAAGTATTTGACTTCTCTAAGCCTCCATTTTTTCATCTGTAAAATCAGATAAATAACAGTCTATGTCTCATCTTATTGTTGTGAGAATTGAATGAGGTACTTGGAAGAATGCCTGGCACATGGTGGGTACACCAGAATTATTACCTATTATAGTGCTGTTGTCCTGTAACTGTTTATTAATGAACAGGAGGAAGGGCTAGGGCTTTATGAAAGTGAGCTCCAGAAACCAGTATACCACTTCCCCATAAAGTAAGTCCAGAGTGAAACATGGGGCTAGTGGGACATAAAGAGTGTTTTTCAGTTCCCTAGACCTGCAGCCATATTTGCATTTTGGAATCATCTTAATCTCAGTGTTTCTTCTCTCCAGCATGCTTTGCAGTGAATCCTATCTCATCACTCTGTATAATGGCTGCTTGGCATTCTTGCCATCCTCTATGGGTTTTCACTTTCATTTCATTAGTTCATTCACTCATTTATTCCCTTTTTCATACGTACATTCATTTACTCATCTATCTGTTCATTCTTCCATTCCATGGACAGTTCTTATGTATCTCCTAGGTATCAGACCATGTTTCTTGGGAGTGTAGCAATAAATCAGACATGGTCATGCCACCTCAGAGCCTCTAGAGTACTGGGGGACATGAGACATGTGTATAAATCCCAAAGTATGAGGGAGGCGAGGTAAGGGTCACTAGAGAGGGATGGTTAATTTGGAGAAGGACAGGGAGACATAGTTCACAGTCCTCTGGATGGTGAGTCATGAGGGAGGCAGCTTGAGCTGGATTTGGGTGGGAAAAGGAGGCTCCATGTAAAATAGCAGCACAGCCAAAGACTCATGGGCTGAGGAGAGAGGTGAAAGGATGCCCGCCTGGCTGCCTGAGCTCTGAGCCTTGCGGTGGACAGCTCTGTTGTGTGTGTGGGGAGACGGAAGGGAGCCAGTGTGCCAGTGTGCTGTCCGAGTTGCAAGGAGCACAGAGACCAGGAGCCGGATAGACACAGGTTCACATCCCAGCCCCACCTCACACTAGCTAGATGGCTTCGCTTCTTAAGAGTCTTGGTCTTGGCTGATATGGGGATCATACAGCCTTTCTCATGAGAGGGTTAAAGGAACTCAGATTAAATAATATATGTGGAAAAGTACTCCTATAAGACACAGATCTTGCATTGGAATAGAAGGCAGGATCTACTTTTGTTGCCAAATGACAGTTTCATCAGGAATAGTGGTAACAGCAGGCTGTGACACCATCTGAGAGCTGTCTCCCAAACAATCTCATCTTACTTTTCCTGTAGGTAACCGATCTGTCACTCACTCAAGTGCACACCCATGGAAACTCTAAATGGCAGAGTAAGTTCTGGAGATACAAACTGATAGTTTTCCTCTGTGTCCTCTTCTTTCCCATCACCATTTAGGCAGGGAGGAGGCTCTGTGCCTTCTTACCTCAAGGGAAGTTCTTGATAGAATAAAAAGCAGGAGTTGCTTGCAAAATACTTCCCTTTCTGCCTTTTGCTTCCCAAAATCTAAGCTCACTGAGGAGAGGAAGCCTAGTGACCTCAAGGGAGACTGCTACCAAGGGAAACCCTAAAAGAGAGACTAAAGAAAGGATCGATAGAAATCAAGTAGGGGCTGAAAGGTCAGCAGCAGGACCCTAATCCTGGTAGGCATCAGAGGAGAAGGGCTGCCTGGGTTCCAGGCTTGGTAAATAGCACTTTGCCCCAGAAGCAGCCAGAAGCAATGAACCCCAAAGGACCATATGCAGTTGGGCTGTCTTAGGCTGATCTGTATAAACAAATGAATTTGCCCTACTCTGGGAGAAACCCCCAAGAAGACTGAGGCTAAATTCTCTACAGCTTGCAGGAGGGGTGGCTTTAAAATGTGATATTGCTTCCACCTTTGCACATATGAAATGGCATTCATACCGCCTCAGCTATAATATACAGGTTCACACATTTTCAGTCCATTTTACTTGGAGATGTGTTTGGGGATACATTATTTGCATAATCTGTTGAACTACATATTTAATCAAGAGCAAAGTGCTTCGTTCCATATACAATTTTCTTGCCATGACATCACAGCAGGAATAGTCACTGCAATGCACACTTTTGTAAATGTCATCACTGCCTAAAATTTGGATCAATCAGATCATGAAGCAATTCCACCAATCAGACCTCAGCTGGGCTGGCCAGCCACACGCAGAGGCTGCTTTCAGAGTACTCAGACTGGCCTGCCTTGAGGGGTGCTGTGGTACCTCGTCTGCAACTTCAGCCACTTGACTTACCTGTGGCTAGTATGGGGTACCAAAATAATAGCTATCGTCATTATAGAAATGTCTACAATAGGACAAAGGCAGAACATTTAAATCACGATATTCAAAAAGACAGAAGTAGAGACCAAAATGTTGATCTTGCTAGTCTATGACTTTTCTGTAGGTCTGCTTGGCTTTAGCTACTTTTGATCTCTATTTACAAACATAAAGTTCTCTTTGCTTTTCACAAGTCACATCTGGTAGGTGATAAGGATTGAGGTGGTGGTGGTAGTGGTAGTGGTGGAAAACTTGACCGTAATCTGTTCTTTCTTTACCCCATCCCAGAGTTCAATATACAGGTACTCAAACTATATTTTCCAAACTGTATAGAACTTAAAAGAGTGAGTTTCACTGGTGTAATTTAATGACATAGGCCTCCTGCTGCTAAATGCCAGAGATCGCTTCCCAATTTCTATCTCTTTCTCTTTGCAAGACCCTAGAGAACCCTACCTCCCAGTCAATTTCATAATAACAACATAACTTCTATCCTAGCTGGAAATACCTCCTTTTCAGGTTAAAGTTCCTTTACTCTTTATGGTCATTTACTTTACAGCTAACTATTGCAGTCGATCCCACAGCAAACCCAGCCCTTGCTCAGCCCATCTCAGTGACAGAAGGAAAAACACTATGTATGTCAGATCATGGTCTATTGCCTCACATGCCTGAGTCTCAGCTAGATGGATTGTGGGGCCACAAGTGAGTTGCATAATTCAGGTGCCAAGTGGATGTGCTGGGGAAGAGACTGCACAGGGTCTGGAGCAGGTCGAGGCCCTCCATCAAGGTGGAGGTTTCCATGTGTAGTTGGATATATGGGTTTGAAGCTCAAGGGAGAGGACAAGGGAGATATTGATGGGGGAGTGATGATATGGACACAGATACAGTAGAAGCCATGTGAGTAGGTACTGTGACCCAAGAAGTGGGCAAAGAGCAAGAAAAAAAAGGGAATTCAGGATGAATTCCCCAAGAACGCCTGTATTTAAAGAATGAACAGGCCGGGTGTGGTGGCTCACGCCTGTAATCCCAGCACTTTGGGAGGCTGAGGTGGGTGGATCACGAGGTCAGGAGTTTGAGACCAGCTTGACCAACATGGTGAAACCCCGTCTCTACTAAAAATACAAAAATTAGCTGGGCCTGGTGGTGCGTGCCTGTAATCCCAGCTACTCAGGAGGCTGAGGCAGGAGAATCGCTTGAACCCGGGAGGTGGAGGTTGCAGTGAGCCGAAATCAAGCCACTGCACTGCAGCCTGGGCAACAGAGCAAGACTCTGTCTCAAAAAAGAAAAAGAAAAAAGAATGAAAAAGGTGAAAGATCCAGGGAAAACTTCCTGCAAGGGTGAATGTAGAGGGAAGAGTAAAATTCAAGGTGGGTGCAGTTTAGATGACAGAGAAGAGGGTTCTAAGTGAAAAGATATGGCCAAACTTGTGAAACGCTTTAGATATATCAACACAAAGTTGAGTAACTACAAGTTCACTGGGTTTGGCAAATACAAGGTAACTTTAGAGGTGGAGTGATAGAAGAAAGAGGTTGCTGAAATACGTACTATTTCAAGCAGATGATCACAGGTTTCAAGAGTGGAAGGATCAGCTTTGAAAAGAAGCTTTTCTTCCTAAGGGACCACAAGAGAAGAAATAATAATAGATGGAAATATAGTTAACTGTGGAAGTGAATGGCCAGGTCAGAAGCTGGAGGGAATCTGAGAATAATTTATATGTGGTAACATTTACTATGTGAGGTGAGACCGGTGGCATAGCGACAGAACAGATGTGGAACAGGACTTGAGAAAAGTGGTGGTGGTTTGGATCAGTCCTGTGGGGAGTGGGAGAGGAGACAGAATACGAGGTTGTGGTCAGATGGACAATGTTTTGAAGTCAAGGTTTCAGAGGTAAATGTTGGCAGGGGCAAACTGTGGCCATAAATGTGAGTTCCTGGAATGGAAGAGAAGGCTATGAAAACAGGTAAAGTGAGATTCTGGAAGAAGAGATGCTGGAAGGATCTCTTAACAGATCTCAAGGGCATCTGAGATGGCAGCAGGGGTTGGGGATGGAGAGGAAGACTGTGAACTGATGCCAACATTGAGCAAATGTTGAATGAATATCTACTTTATGCCAAGCACTAGATGCCATGGTCTCCAGTAAACACAGAGGATGAATTTAAATATAGTTCAAGTGTAAGTAGAGGGCTGGTGGTAGGAGACGATGATACAGCCTAGTATCGTGAGTCATGGAGTCAGAGGGTCTTGGAATCCCAGGGGAATGGACATTCCTGCTAATCACCATGGGACCCAGGAGAATGCAAACCCCCTGGGTTGTAGGCTGTGTGTTTTAACAACGTGGTAGTGAGGATTGTGGGCAGAAGAGCAGCCTCCCCTGGAGAAGGCTGCAGAGAAGCAAAATCATTAGGAACACACCACGTGCCTAGCCATGTGTTAACCACTTGAATAACGACAGCGTTTGGCCCTGCTCTGAGGGTCCCTGGAACCTTTTTGGGCACCCATCTGTGCTGCCAGACCTTGAAGGGTTTACTGTTTCTCTCTGCTCTGTTGGCTAAGCTCTGCTCACACAGGGATAATGAAGGTCTCATTTGCCTCCGACAATATGGTGCCTTTCTGCATAATTTACATGTTTTCTTCAAGGCTCAGACACTAAGTAATGAGGTAACAAATTCTGGTGCAGGGTCTTGCAACTGAGACATGGAAACCCAGACTCCACGCCTTTATTCTTCTGTGATCTCTTCCAGGGCAAGTTTGGAGCTGGGAAAAGTGTCTCCCTGTCTTGGTCTTGGCAGGCACCTGTTAAAGAGAGGACTTGGACATCTCAGGGTGACCGGAGGCATCTAAGTGCTAGCTCTATGTCACTGTCACCTTCTGAAATTCAGCTGCAGTCAGTAGATTTATAAATACCTCTCAAAGATTGAATTTTGTTTCCAATTTGTAAGAACATTAACCACCACTTATTGAGTACTATAAGTGTCAGCTGTTCTGCTAAGGATTTACATTAACTATTTTTTTAAACCTGCACATCAATGAAGTAGATTTTTTCTTTCTTTCCTTCCTTCCTTCCTGCCTCCCTCCCTCTCCCTTTCTTCCTCCCTTCCTTCCTCCATTCCTCCCTCCCTCCATTCTTCCCTTCTTCCCTCCCTGCCTTCCTCCCTCCTTTGCTTTTGAAGGAGGTAATTGAAGCTTAGGGAAAATCTGATGTGGAAGACAGAGGTCCTGATGAAGATTCACACCAAGGCAGTTTGACTCCAGAGCCTGCCCACTTAGACACTACCAGATCACTTCCTTAGGTCTTCTATCTCAGTCATAATTTGGACTCATTCTATCAGTGTAGTATCAGTGTTTCCGGACTGACACATCAATTCATTCATCAACCTTTTACTGAATATCAACTCTGCTGGACCCCATGGGAGAGGGCCTTAAGGAGTTTAACATTGGTGGAGTGTAAGGCAAAGCCTGAAGGTCTCTAAGGCTAGACTGGATACAGGAGCCAGCTCAGCTCACAGAGTGTGGTGTTGGCCCCATTCAGTCTTCTGCAGGTGATGTGGAGACAGAGGATTTCAAGTAGTGGAGAGAATAGCATGCAAACCAATATTCACCACCCATCTGCTGCGTGTCAGATACTCAAGAGGGTGATGAGGCGGGAAACAGTTAGGCAAGCCAGGGCTCTGGCACACAGCATTTTAGGACTCTCAGAGTGAGAGCTTTCTGAAATTTTGTGCCCTAAGCACCTGGCTTGCCTGACCCTCATCCAGGCCCTCCGAGGATGTTATTTGTGAGTAACGGATGAATACTACTCAGATCTCCACCCTTAAAACATGATGGACTTTGGGGAGAGGAGGAGAGGAGTGGATAGAGTTACATTTAACCACTTTCACAAGGAGTGACTTTAGGAGTATTAGATATTATTGATGTTCCTATTAAAGATGAAAACCTAACTATATCCATAACCTTCCACCATCCTTTCCACTGAGCCCAGTAGAAAATATTTTTAAGAGCATTGTGTAAGTCTTCTCAAGTGGGTAATGGGATTTTACTAATTTCGTTTGCTTTCTGCTGTTGACTATATACCAGCCTCTGGTACACCAGGCCCAGAAGCTGGTTCTGTGATCTCCTACAATAAAGGTTCATCTCTGGTCACCAAGACCCACTAGGATTCAAAGTCAAGCTAGATAAGAGCTCAACTGCTTGGGATGAAAGTAGGATGACAGAGCAGCCTCTGTATTTTTCTAAGTTCTAGGATCCAAGATCGGGGAGCCTTCAGATCTTCCCAATCTTTTGACTCTTACTCTGTTAGTCCAAAAACGAGTTCATTGCTCTTTATGAATTATGATCACCTTTGCCCTAAATAGAGAGCAGCTGTCATTCCAGGCCACTTCTGCCTGCACCTTTTCAACCTCAATAATTCCTAATGGTTTAGACTTGTGTTATTAATATGTAGCCAGGATTAAGTGGCTAAAGAGCAAAACTGCAATGAGGTTTCACATTGCTAGAGGCGAGGGAACACTGCTGGCACAACACAGAAGGTAACTGTGGAGTCAAATGTGAAACACAGCCATGCAGACCCTACCCTGTAAAGGGCCAGGCAGACACAAAAAATGCTCAGTTCTGAGAAGAGTCAATGGCAAATTCAGTATGGATTCTGGGAGAATGCCTGCCCATCCTGGACATCAACTGCAGTGGGCTTGAGATTGTCTTAGGAAGAGAGAAAACACATCTGCTTTCAGTTCTTATTGTCAACTAGATGATGAAAAGCAGCTCAATTCAGTAGAAAGGGCATTAGCCTGGGAGATGAGACACTTGGTTCAAGGCCAGCCCTGCTACTGTCCCAGGACAATTAACTTGGCTTCTCTGGCCCCTGATTTTTCTTCACCTCCAAATGACTAGATGATCACTCAGGTTGCTTCCTGCTCACGGATTTCCCATTCTCTGAATGCCCAGGAAAAAAGAACACATCACCCCATCTGGCTCCTACCATATATGCGATGAACTGTGGAGCTGTAGTTCTTTGGAGACAGATGGTAGGCAGGTATCTGTTTCCATATTTGGTATGAAGTACGAGGAGGAGGGAAAGAAAATACTGATGCCTGAGCCAACTTACACAGGCAGACTGGCTCCCCAGCCAGGCTCCTTCATGCTCTGCTCAAGGTGTGTGACTTGTCACAGGACCCACAAGAGACACCAGAGGTCCCTGCCCCAAACTCTTCAATCCAGGGGGATGTTTTCAGGATTCTGCCCCAGGGAAACCTTTTAGCCTACCTGTTTGGGGATTCTCTGTTTTTGATGCTGCTTTCAACTCAGCCCTAGAGGTCTTCATGGAAGCCAACCAAGCACGTAACACTTCAAAAAAAAGTTGCCACATGTAAGACATTCAGCACCAAAACGCTTCTCTCTGGGCACAGCTTCTGTCTTTCCACTTTTCTCCCAGAACCTGCAGCGTAGAGTAATAAATACAGCAGAGGCTTTGCAGCATGGCAGAGATGTGGGACCCTAGGCAGGGGCCCGTTGCCTGAGCCTCTATGTTCTTATTTGCAAAGAGAGAGTAATAGCATGTGCCTGCAGAGTGGATGGAAGAATTTAAAGAGGGGAGCATGAAAAACACCCAAGGGCTTAGAAAGAACACCTGGGCTCCCTCCTTTTCTCCTTGCAGGGGCCATTCAGCTGAGTCCCCAGCATCTATTCTACTCCAGATGATACGCCAATCATGGGAACCCCTTCCTTCTGCTGTGCTTGGTATAGACATGGACGAATGAGCTATTTCAGGCTAATGAAACATGAGAGGGAGTCTGCTGGGGGGCTTTTGGAAATTGTTTCCTTCTTCCTAATAAAAGGCACAAGAAGGATACAGTCCCAGGTTCCCCCTGGTTAATGTGCTCTCTGAGGTGACCTCTGTAATTCTTGCAGCTGTTTTGCTACTGACCTGAGGATGAAGCCAATACACAGAGAAGGGCACAGAACCTGTAGGTTATAAGAGAAGCAGAGCCCTCACAGTCCTTGCCTAGTAGTGCCTTACTTATGGACTTCTTGTTGTATGTGTTAACACATTGATTTCCTTATAATTTAAACTCATTTGATTCAGAGTTTTCTGTTCCTTGCAGCAGAAGGAATTCAAATTGTTAAATCCCTTATTACAGGCTCCTATTCTTCATCATCCATCCTTCAGGTTCTCATGTCCCATCTCAACTTCCTTCTGCAATTCTCCTTGATTTATAGCTCAGCTGAAGCTCCAAAGCCAGCCATGCCCACAGTAGGACACTTCCTGCCAACCCTTACATCATTGACATTTGGCCTTTTCTGCCTAAACAAGTTGTGGTATTATGGCCACAATTTCGAGGGCTGCAGAGTATTGACGGAGAAAAGTAAAATTATGTCCAGTGGCCATATTATACGGCCATGCTTCCTTCTCCTGCCAGGGCCTTAGCTGCTGCTACAGTCAATCTGGATTACTTGGTGTTTCCTCCTTTATGGGATTATTGGTAGAGGAGTCCCTGCCAGTGGGTAAGCCCTCTCATTCTTTCTCCCCTAGAGCAATCTTCCAGGCCAATCCCAAATGCCACTTCCTGTGAACTCCCATAACATCATTTCTCTTTTCAAATCCAGTTCAACCTCCTAATATAGATATTTGTCCATTTCTTTTATACTCCCTAGTAGACCCTGATTTACTTAGACACACTCTGTTAACTATGAAGAGCCACACAAACATTCATTAAGAAGGAAGCCATGGATAAAGACATTCATTAATTCAGCCAGAATTCAGTCTGAAGATGGGCCGTGCCACTGAATAGCTAAGGGAAGTAGGGAAAATGATTAAACCCTGTGCTACAATGTTTATCTGAAGGTAGAACTAAAATACCTACCTAAGGTAGTTGAGAAGATTATAGGAGATAATTGTATAAAAATATACGGAACTGTCAGGCACATAGTTGGCCCTCAATATTATTTTCTTTTTTTCCTTTTCACCATAAGTCTGAGAGAGCACGTCCTTTCTTTATGCTGGCCAAATGTGTATGTATGTATACATAAAACCTTTCTCCATGGATATCAAGTAATCTGTAATATTATAAAACTAAATTCATTTTGGCAACATTCAAGTAAAAATCAAATGCTTCTCCCTGCTTTGCCCATCAGATGGAGGTTGACATGTAGACATAAACTCAACATTCAGTGCACACCATCTGCCGGCCAGCCCTGTGCTACATGAAATGATATACAGATGAACTGAATATGGAACTTGTCTTTTGCCCTAAGATTTCTCATTACAATTTCTTGAACACGTGGGCCTTTCACAGATAGCAAATGCTTCTGTATGGTGGATTGCCTCACTCAGATGTTTACACACTCCTCTCCATGGATAAAAGCAGAGGGAGGACTATGCAATTTTAAGAGTCTTTCTGTTACTTTCTTGGAGTGCTTCTCAACTTTTCATCAGCACAATAATGAGTTGGGGGTTTCCTACACAGGCAGATTCCTAGCCTTACCCTTAGAGATTCGGCTTGGGTAGAATCATATCATTTTCCTTACTTCCTTTAGCTATTCAGTGGTATGAGTACAGCCCAGGACTCTGCATCTTTAACAAGCATCCAGCGTGATCCTGTTTTAGATGAGAAACAATGGGTGCTGGGTTGTGGATGGTAGCAAGGAAGTTGGTTCTTGCAGAAGTGAGTACATTGTGACTTTTTTTTTTTTTTTTTTTTGAAACGGAGTCTCGCTCTGTCGCCCAGGCTGGAGTGCAATGACACGATCTCGGCTCACTGCAACCTCTGCCTCCCGGGTTCACGCCGTTCTCCTGCCTCAGCCTCCCAAGTAGCTGGGACTACAGGCGCCCGCCAGCACGCCTGGCTAATTTTTTTGTATTTTTAGTACAGACTAGGTTTCACCATGTTAGCCAGGATGGTCTCGATCTCCTGACCTTGTGATCCACCCGCCTCGGCCTCCCAAAGTGCTGGGATTACAGGCTTGAGCCACCGCGCGGGGCACATTGTGACATTTCAAGCAGGCATGGCTAATAACCAAGGTCATTCATTGGATCTCAACAGATGGACCTCACAGTCTCGCAACTAACATGGGAACCAGTAATCTCATGCCAGAGGAAGCACTCCTGAGGCAGAGGAGATTTCAGGAGAGAACAGGTTGAACATTAATAAGGAGGAGCTTTGGCACTGGTCCAAGAAACAGGATAAGCTAAATCTCTGCATCTATTCTGGACACCAGAATGGCGCGGGGACCATTTAGAGGTGAGATGGGCAGGTAAGTTGATGAAGAAGAACCACCAAGGTATGAAACCATCAGGAACTTGGACTATGGATGAGATAAAATTTTCTCAGCCAAATAAAATATTTATTCATTTATTTCCTCTTGGCCTCCCTTATTAATTTATTTAGTTTCTGTGGAAAATATGAACCCAGTTTGAAGGAACAGCTCTGGGTGAAGTCAGCTACTGGAAGGGTGGGAATTAAATAATAATCATCACTCATTTTATGGAATGCTTTTCTAGGCCAGGCACTTTACATACATTATGTTTAATTTTCACAAGCACACAATAAGGTAGGTGTTAATTGTCTATGTTTTTCAGATGAGGAGCTGAAGTTTCAGAGAGGTTAAGCAATTTGCCTAGGTTCACACAGCAAAGATGATGAAACTTACAACCACAAGGTGAGCCCTTCTTACTAGAAGTTCTCTTCGTGTCTCCTGGTGTTCACATATTGGAAGACTTAATCCTTCAGTGACCGGGAAAAGACCTCCTAGGACCTACCAATCCAGCCTTATCAGACACCTGGCAGAGAAAGTGATTTCTGAAGCAGGAGAAAACCCAGGAAGATTGCTCAGTTCCTGTGCAAGCTGCTTCCCAGCTGGAGATGACAGTTAATCTTGAAAATCAATTCAGTGCCTGCTCTCACTGCAGACACTCCTCAGGGCAGGCCACGGCTCCTCTCACCACCGTTAAACAGAATAAAAAGTGGGGAATTGAGCAGCATAAGACATGCAGTGGCTGCCAGTGGGAAGCGGTCAGGAGCAACTGTGTGCTGGGCCCGGGGTCGCCCTAGAACACTGCTATTGGGCTCACAGGTGGCACCTTCAGCCTCAGGCACAGACAAGGTATGGGCGGACAAGAAGTGGTACTGGCCGATTTTGCCTGAGAATGGGCAGAATCAGCTCATGTGGGCAACCTCAGTCTTTCTCTGACAGCCTGGGCATGGGCTGCTTTGGCTTTGTGGCAAGCCTGTTCTTTTCTGGATACTTTCTGGACTGTGACCCTGTGTCTTCTGAGATTGTCCAAGAGTGGACGAGGCTTACCCATGGGTGATGACTCAGCAGGGAGCCCAGGGCCCTCTGTGTGTGGCTGCAAGGCTTCAGATATCTCACATGTCTTCTCAAGGTTGCAATTATGTCACATGGCTCTAAGACTAGTAGACTAGGCCAGATTATTCTAGAATCTTCTCTCAGATTCTGGAAGGTAGGCAGAAAACACCACTTTCAGAGAGGATTAATTCTGCTTCAGAAAAAAAGTGAGATGAGAAAGCAATGGTATCCTTCGGTGGGACATGTGACAGTATCACCTCACAGCACTGTGGTGTTTATCTTAATGTCTTTCACTTACAAGATCAAGGCTCTGGGAGGTAGGTAGGCAGGGCAGAAACTATTGTCCCCATTTTAAAGAGGAGGAAACTGATGTTCAGAGACTTTAACAAGGATTGGAATGGTAGAAAGCAAACTCAAAGACGGACCTTACTATAAATATCTGAGGTTTTTTTTTTTTTTCTAACAATTAACCCTCGCTACATGACTCTGTATATCTGAGACCGAGTATCTTCTTTCCTGAGGATATTGTATGCTTGAGGTGAGGGTAATTATGATAATAGCAACGTGTATATAGGAGGGCTGTGAGGAGTCCCGGAGAAAATAGATGTGAAAGTACATTGTAAAGCAATAGTGCCATGCAAGGGAATGTAATATTAATATTATTCAAACTCCTGCCACCTCATGTTCTCTTCAAATGTCTCTTCAGCAATGACTTGCCTTTCTGTCCTTTGCCTACCCAGCTTCATCATCTGAGTATAATGAGAACAAACATATGGGGGCTCTGCACTGGTGCTTACTATCACTATTTTACAGATGAGTAAGCTGAGGCTCCGGGAAATGACTTTCCTCAGCTAATAAACCCAGTGTATGGCAGGATGGCGATGCTCCGCCCCTCCTGCTGCAGCTCACCTCCCAGGTGTGTTCCCGCTCACACTCTGTGTTGCCTCTCTGTATGGTGACCTCGAGGCTCTCAGACCCTGCATGCTGTAGAGAGAGCCTGTGCACTCCTTAAAGTACGGTCACGTCTCATTTATGCACATCACCCTGTCCCCAGTGGCTCTTAGGCAGGAGGAAATCTTCATTCCATCTGAGGCCCAGGAACAGGGTTGTGTGAGGGCTGCTCCCCATAATGTCACAGTGGGGGCTGCCAAAATGTCTTCACATACAGGATGAGCCACAGGAGCAGCCAGTGGAAGGAACCCTGGTACTCTGCCTTCTACAGTCTGTGGGGAGGAGGACACTTTCTTAAACCCAGTTTGTCTGAGGATCTCAGCCGTCAGGGAGGAAAAAGCCACCCAGTCCTCAGTCCTCCCCTTCTAGGAATCAGGAATGTTGGAGAGAACTGGGCACTGGGCTCAAAGACAGGGAATCTGGAATTTTAGGAATGAGTGAAGTTTCCAGAGAAAGGCTGCATGTGGTCAAATTCCAGTTCTGCCATTTCTTAAGTATGTGATCATGGACAACTCACTTGATTCCTCTGAGCCTCAGTTATCTCATCTGAAAAATGGGTGTTTATTTGTTAATTAAAAACATTTATAATGAAGGAGCAAGTGATGCTGTAGGTATGAAGGATACAATGAGGCAGATGAGGTCTTGGGGGCTGAAAATAACTCAAGGAGTCAATCGCTAGTGAAGGAAGTAGAGCAGCTAATAAATGCACAAGAAAAATTTACATAGTGTGAGTACTATAAAAGAAAAGCAGCATAAGTTGATGACTAAGGGGGCTCTTTTGGATTGAGGTGGGTTAGGGACGATGTTTCTGAAGAAGTGACATTTGAATGAGATAAGAGTGACAAGAATGAGCCAGCTATGCCAAGACCCGAAGTTGGACAGTGAGGAAGTAGAAAGAGGGTTTCAGGTAGATGGGGCAGCCTGGGCACAGGCCCCGAAGGAGGAGCAAGTGTGATGAGCTCAGAGTGCTGCAGAGTTGAAAGGCAGCCAGTGTGGCTGCAGAGAAGCAAGAGGTGGGGCAAGTGGTGGAGGAGGTCAGAGAATGAGGCCAGGCTGATCCTGCTGGCCTCAAGGCATGGTCAGAAGTATGCAAGTCACTGCAGTGTGGTAGAAAGCCATTGGAGGTTTTTAAGCAGAAGAGCAACATGACCTGATTCGTATTTGTAAAATATCTGTCAGGCTGCTAGTAGGGAAAATAACTGGGGCGGGGGGTAAGAGTAGAAGCAGGGAGATCATCTGTGGCATTGCAGTAGTCAAGGAAAACAATGGCAGTGGCTTAGACTATAGTGGAGCGAAAGAGGTCAGATATGGGATGTATTCTGTGGGAAAAGCTGGCAGAACATGATGGGGGATTAGATGAGGGGATGTGGGAGAGAATTCAAGATGGTACCTGGCTTTAGGAATGACTCAATAGTCATCTGGTAACAACTCACCTAGATAATGGATGAGTAGTATGCAGCAAAGTGCCAGAAACTTACTAAAGGATCAGTACATTTTTATCACATTCATTATTCCTGTAGGCCAGTTCTGCAACTGACATTCAGTTGAACTTTCGGTGATTGCCTCTCTGATCCTCAGTTTCCTCATGTATACAATATGGCAGGCCATATATTTTTACATTCATTTGACAAATATGTATTAGACATTTATCATACACCAGGCTCTATGCTGAGTACCAGAGATACAAGGTAAAGAAGACCAAATAGTATCGGCCCTTATGGGAGAGTGGAGAAGACACTATTGAACAGGAAGTTACTAGTCCTAGGGAGGGTCAAGAAGGAGGTGCTGGGAGAAAGACCTTGTTCAAGTGTGTGTCCTTGGGGAGGCTTCCTGCATGGGATGACATTTAAGTGGGGTCACAGGATAAGTAGGGGTTAGCAAGGTGAGGGATGAGGATGGGTGGGCTGGGGTGAGCAGGGAAAGAGGGTATCAGACAGGGGTAGTAGCATAAGTTAACTACTTGAGGCATAAAAGAACATGGCCTTTCCAAAGCCAAAATGTCCAAGTGTTGAACTGCCCAAACACCCCATCTCCTGCTTGAGAGACCATGGAAAGAAAGGGTGGCAAGACTCATCAAATGCAGGCAAGTCCATTTTCAAATTATCTGGATAAGCCATAGATTTGTTCAAATTTTTTAAAAGGTTAGCAAACCACATTAAATGCTTGTGATCTTTTGGAAGGATCTGGTCTCTAGTTGTGTGTTGCTCAACTCCTTTGCTAAGATAATTTATCAGCTGTTCTTAAATAAGGATGTGCATCAGCCTCTCTAGGGGGAACAGAGAAAGTGGCCTCACTCCCAAAATTCTGATTCACAGGTCTCTCTATAGGTATTCCTGACATGCAATCAGGATTAGACACTGCTTAATTATGGGAATACGCTTCACTGATTCTGCAACATGTTCTGAGTTCTGTCCTTGAGTGCAGCTGGATCACTAAAAAGCTACTGGACTTTATTATACTATGTTCCTAATGGACAAAAGTCTTGGAATTATGCACAGATGTGGAAAAAATTCATCTTAAACATTTCTGCATTCCCTGTAGAACTATTTTTGAAGGTATTACAATGTTCATTATAATCTATTTGCTTTAGAATTTATTTCAGTTAAAGAATTGGCATGCTTTCTTTTTACAGATGGTGAGCATTAAATAATCCAATATAACTACCTTTTTGCCTTGGCTGCTAGGAAGCTCAGAGTCAAAACTGAATCCCACCTACAGTAACTATTCTCAACTGCACAAGCAGCATATTGGCATACCACTTTTCTCGTGGTTTTAATTTCAAATTTTTAGTTTAATACTATGCCAAGTATATATGAAGAACCCACTGTTTCTACATCTGAATGAAGGTTCTTCACCAGCACCAACATGCACCATTGCTGGAGTCCATGGAAGAATGACAAAGACTATAGACATCACTACTATGTGGGTGGCAGACACTGTGAAACCAAACCACTAGGCACTTGGAAATAGAAGCATTTGTTGAAATCACATGCAATTAGATCAAAGACAAAAGTATTCTTTCTCACAATTCCATCCAGAAAGAACACTGAGGGTCAGGCCTGGTGGCTCACGCCTGTAATCCCAGCCCTTTGGGAGGCTAAAGTAGGTGGATCACTTGAGGTCAGGAGTTTGAGACTAGACTGGCCAACATGGTGAAACCCCATCTCTACTAAAAATACAAAAATTAGCTGGGCATGGTGGCACACGCCTGTAAGCCCAGCTACTTGGGAGACTAAAGTAAGAGAATCACTTGAGCCTGGGAGGTGGAGGTTGCAGTGAGCAGAGATCACACCTCTGCACTCCAGCCTGGGTGACAGAGTGAGGCTCTGTCTCAAAAATAAATAAATAAATAAATAAATAAATAAATAAATTAATTAATTAATAATAATAAAAAGAAGACTGGGTATTCCTGATGTGAGTCAGTTTGTCTTATGAGTGTTTCCTCAAAAAAATAGCAAGAAGCAGGTTACACTATGTGCAATCCATTTCCCTCTCCTTTGATTATCACAGCAATCCCCAGAAGCAGCCCTTTCACAGAGAGGAAGCTGAGGCTTAGAGGGTGTCAATGGATGATCCAGTGCTGCAGAGCCAGAAGGTAGCAGATCCAGGATGTCTGTCTTTTGTGACAAGTCCCACCTTCCTTCTGGATGTATCTTTCTATCCCCTGTAAATGAGTCCGACTGCAGGTACCAGCCTTATAAATGTGATTTTCTCCATCTGCTTGGGTATTCCACCAGGCCCCCCACTGTTGGCACTCTGCTTCTTCTCAGCCAACAAGGCCTTTTGATGATGTGCTGTGTTTCCCTGTCTCTGATAACCCAGTTTAGGTCTTGTTATTCCAATTTTGACCTTTATCTCCAACATTACAGAGGAATCTCCGTATTCTTCTCAGTGCATTTCTGTCTCCTATCTCCCCACCTTCCTGTCACACCTCAACCCCATTCTAAGCTTCATGTCCAATATCTGTAGAGTACAGGTGCTCACTCCCAGAAACTGTGGGATCCATCCTTAGTGGGGGAAGCTGCATGAGCTGCTTTGCTGCTGCTCTTGGATGGATCCTGGGATGATTGTTGGAAGCCCTAATCCACTGGGCCCTCAACTTCTAGAAGGAATTTTCTTTTTCTTTCCCTATTTATTATTATTTTGTAGTCTTTCATGTTCCACAATAATTTAAGGAGGTTCAAATTTAGAAACATTTCCTACTGAAGCAAAAGCTGATATTTTGCCCCAGGACAAAATATTTTTGCATTGATCCAGGGGGAACTGAGACCCAGCGCAATGGGAAAGACTCAGGCCCAGAGGGCCCGTTCTGCCAGTATGCACCATCCCCTCTGTTCCAATTATGCTGTCAGCAAATGTATCCATTTTTGAAATTACACCACTATTATGGGTTATTTATATAGGGTAGACTGAAGTGTCCATAATGCTTATCCATAAGGTGAGCACTTTCTTATTTCTGACTGCTCTCTACTCCACCTGTTTCCTGGATTTGAGCCAATTTGCCACCCATTTTTAATAGATGGTCCTACTTCTGTGCTTTTAGACTATTATCCACTTTCTTGAGTGCCACTAGTCTGTATTAGTTTACTGAGTTTAGAAGGGTCACAGTCTCTATCTACCAGGTTACCAAGACAGGTGAGTCTGTTCTGTTTTACACACACACACACACACACACACACACACACACACACACGCATGCACACATAGAGTTCTCCCAAACTTTGTAGTCCCTGAATTGGGTGGTTTCCCATGAGCTCTTATTGCCTAAGTGAATAAAGAAGTTGAGACGTTTTCCTTGCTCTGGAAACATTAGTGTCTGTCTAAGTCATTTGTGGTTTCCTTGGTCTAGTCTACTAGAAGTTCTTTCTTGCATGAAAAAAACTGAAATGGAACTTGAATGATCCTCCTCCCACTATTTAAGTACTGCTTTCTGAAACTTTCAGCTATATAGCAATTGCCTCCAAAGAGTTCCTGTTATTTTCCTCTATTTTTTTCCTTTGTATTTGGATTTACCTCTTTAGAACCATGCTTCTTCTCATCCATCTTCTGTCCCGAGCACCTTATTACTCTGTTCATTAGAGTCTTTTTCAGAACATACTTCATAGTCCCTCAGGATTCTGTTTAACCATCCTTTTCTTTGGAAGCCTAAGTGCAAGGGAAAGCCATTGTGAAGATACAGTGACAGGCACTTAGTGGGTTCAGGTCGTTTCATTCCAGCAATTGGCTGACCAAGCCAAAGCACTAGAAAGAGTTGACCACTTCTGCATAAAACTTGGTCAGTGGGTGGCCGAAGAACTGATTTCAGTCCTGACCCCTTCAGAGCCTTGGTTTCTTCAACTGTGAAATTATTGAGTTGGGTTGGAGGAATTCTTCAGCTTCATTTCTAAAATTAAACTTTTGATTTTGATAAAATTGGGGCCATCTGCAATTGCAAGAAATAGTGCAGAAAGATTCCATGTACCTTTTATTTCATTTCCTCCAATGGCAACTTCTTGCAAAACTCTAGTACAGTATCACAACCAGGATATTGACATTGACACATTTAAGATACAGAACATTTCCACCACCACAAAGACCCCTCATATTGCCCCTTTGTAGACACACACCTTCCTCCCTTGTCCCTGACTCTTAGCAACCACTAATCTATTCTCCATTTCTATAATTTTGTCATTTCAAGAATGTTCATACCAATGAGAACACATGGACACAGGAAGGGGAACATCACACACCAGGGCCTGTTGTGGGGTCGGGGGAGGGGGGAGGGATAGCATTAGGAGATATACCTAATGTTAAATGATGAGTTAATGGGTGCAGCACACCAACATGGCACATGTATGCATATGTAACAAACCTGCACGTTGTGCACATGTACCCTAAACCTTAAAGTATATATAAAAAAAGAATGTTCATACAGCATGTAACTTTTCAAGTTGACTTTTTTCACTCAGTGTAATTCTCTGGATATTCATCCAGGTTGTAGCATGTATCAGTAGTTCATTCCTTTAATTTCTGAGTAGTTTTCCATGATATGAATATACCACAGATTATTTAACCATTTACCCATTGAAGGACAGGAGGGTTATTTCTAGTTTTGGGTTATTATGAATATAAAGCTGCTATAAACATTCATGGACAGATTTTTGTGTCAACATAAGTCTTCATTTCTCTGGGAGAAATGCCAAGGAGTACAATTGCTGGGTCATATGGTAGTTATAGGTTTCATTTTTAAAGAAACTGCCAACGTTGTCCAGAAAGGCTGTGTCATTTTACATTTCCACCAGAAATATGTATTTTTCTACATCCTTGCTAGCATTTGGTGTTGACGCCATTTTTTATTTTAGCCATTCCGATAGGTGTATAGTGGTATCTCAATGTGGTTTTAATTTGTATTTCCCTAATGACTAATCATGTTGAACACCTTTTCATGTGCTTATTTTCCATCTGTACATCTTCTTCAGTGAAATGTCTTTTCATCTATCTTGCCAATTTTCTAATTAAATTTTTTTCTTTACTGTCAAGTTTTGAATATTTTAGATACTAGTCCTTTGTCAGATTTCATGCAAACATTTTCTCCCACTTCATAGCTTGTCTGTTCATCATCTTAGGATCTTTCATAGAACAGAAGTTTTTAATTTTAATAAAGCTCAGCTTATCAATTTCATCTTTTATGGATTATGCGTTTGGTGTCATATTTAAATACTTTTTGCCTAGTCCTAGACCCTGAAGATTCTCCTGTTTTTCTAAAAGTTTTGTAGTTTTATGCTTTACATTTAAATCTGTGACTCATTCTTAAGTTAATTGTTGTATAATATATGAGACTCAAGATTAATATTTTGTTTGCATGTCTTTGTGTCCAATTGCTCCAGTACCATTTATTGAAAAGGACCTTTCCTCCATAGGCAGGCACACCTCATTTTATTGTGCTTTGCAGATACTGAGTTTTTTTTTTTTTTTTTTTAACAAGTTGAAAGTTTGTGGCAACTCTACATTGAGCAAGTATTGGTACCATTTTTCCAAACGCGTGTGCTCAGTTAGTGTTTCTGTGTCACATTTTGGTAATTCTTGCAATATTGGAAAGTTTCTCATTATTATATGTGGCATAGTGATCTGTGATTAGTGATCTTCCAGGTTACAACTGTAATTGTTTTGGGGCACCATAAACCACACCCATGTAAGACATTAAACTTAGTCGATAAATGTTGTGTATGTTCTGACTGCTTCACTGACTGGTCATTTCCCCATCTCCTGCTCCTTAGGCATCCCTATTCCTTTAGAGACAACAATATTGAAATTAGGTCAAAATTCAATAGCCCCACAATGGCCTCTAAGTGTTCAAGGGAAAAGAAGAGTTGCACATCTCTTACTCTAAATCAAAAGCTACAAATGATTAAGCTCAGTCAAGTTGTAAATTCAAAGGAAAAGCTCTTTAAGGAAATTAAAGTGCTACTCCAGTGAAAATATGAATGATAAAAAAGGGAAACATGTTGGGTGAGGTGGCTTATGCCTGTAATCCCAGCACATTCTGGAATTGATTTTTCTATGTGTATTTTACATCCTGTGACTTTATTAACTCATTTGTTAGTTCTAGAAAGATTTTGAGGGGATAGAGATTCCTTGTAACTTCCTACACAATCATGTCATCTGAAAATATAGATGGTTTTATTTTTTCCTTTCACTCTATGTAACTTTTATTTCCTTTTCTTGCCATATCGTACTGGCGAGAGCTTCTAGCACTATGTTGAGTAAGAGTGGTGAGAGTGAATATCCTTGGCTTGTTCCTGAGTTTTAGAATAAAATGTCAGTCTTTTGACATTAAACATAATGTTAATTTTAAGTTTTTGTAGATGCTCTTTTTCAATTCAAGAACGTTCCCCTTTATTGCTAGTTTGCTGAAGGTTTTTTTTTTTTAATCATGAATAAGTGTGGAATTTTGTCAAATTCTTATCTGATTTGATTGATGCGATTATGGTTGTTGTTGTTTTTTTTTTTTTTAGCCTGTTAATACAGTGGATTACACTGACTAGTTTTTGAGTACTGAGACAGCCTTACACTCTCTGGAATAATTTCAGCTGCTCATAGTGTGTTTATAAATAAATGATACACACACACACATATATTTGCATCTATACTTATTAGGAATATTAGCCTATTTTTTTGGTACTATGTTTGTCTGGTTTTGGTATTGGGACACTACTAGTTTTATAAAATGAATGGGGATATATTCCCCTTTCTATTTTCTAAAAGAGATTGCATAAAATTAGTATTAATACTTCTTTAAATATTAGAATTCTCCAGTGAAATCAGCTGGGCCTGGAGATTTCTTTTTTGGTAGTTTTTTTTTCTTTCTTTCTTTTTTTTTGAGATGGAGTCTCACTCTGTCTCCAGGCTGGAGTGCAGTGGCACGATCTCAGCTCACTGCAACCTCCGACTCCCTGGTTCAAGTGATTCTCCTGCCTCAGCCTCTCGAGTAGCTGACATTACAGGCACGTGCCACCACAGCCAGCTAATTTTTGTATTTTTAGGAGAGATGGGGTTTCATCATGTTGGCCAGAATGGTCTCAATCTCTCGACTTTGTGATCCACCCTCCTCGACCTCCCAAAGTACTAGGATTACAGGCGTGAGCCACCGTGCCCGGTCTGGTAGTTTTTAAAATTATAAATTCAATTTTCCTTAATAATTATAAGATTATCTAAATTATTTCATATTAGGTGAGTTATGGTAGTTTGTGTTTTTCACAAAAGTAGATCCATTTATCTAAGTTGTCAAATTTATGAGCGTACAGCTATTTCTAGCATTCTCTTGTTATTACTTTGACGCCTTCAGGCCTGTAATGACTTCTGATATTGGTAATTTGTCTTTTTTTTTCCACTGTTAATCTTGTGAAAGGTTTATTAATTTTATTGCTCTTTTCAAAGCACCAGCTCTTTGTTTCACTGTCTCTATTGTTTTTCTGTTTTGAATCTCATAATTTCTGTTTTGACTTTTAATATTTCCTTCTTTCTGCTTGCTTTGGGTTTATTTTGCTCTTTTTTCCACCTTATGTTCTTGAGATGGGAGCTTTGACCACTGATTTGAGTCTTCCTTTTTGCAAATGGAAGCTTGTTCAGTGATAAAAATTTCATTTTCAGCACTGCTTTAGATGTGTCCCACAGATTTTGACATGTTGCTTTCTTATTTGCATTCAGTAAAACGTATTTTTAAATTTCTCTTGAGACTTCTTACTGGTCCATTTCTTATTTAGAATTATATTGTTTAGTTCCAAGTATTAATAATCAAAGATCATCTTATTATCTTTCTGTTATTAATTTCTAGTTTGGTTCCATTATGGTCAGAGAACACAATCTGATTTCAATAATTTTAAATTTGTTGAGGTTTATTTTATGGCCCAGGATGTGGCCTATTTTAGGATATGTGCCATAGGCACTTGACAATCGTGTATATTTTCTTGTTTGAAGGTGATAGGTTCTATAAATGTCAATTAGATACTGTTGGTTGATGATGTTATTGAATTATTTGTTAGCCTTGCTGATTTTCTGTCTAGTTGTTACTATCAATTGTTAAGAGAGAGGTTTTGAAATTTTCAACTATAATTGCCCATGTACTTCTCTTTTTGTTTCTATCAGTGTTTGCTTAACATATTTTGAGGCTATCTTTTTCTGGTGTATTTAGTAGTGCTATGTCTTCTTGGTGGACTGACCTTTTTATCGTAAGTAATGTCTGTGTCTCATAATTTTCTTTGTTCTGAAGTTACTTTATATGATAATATGGCAACTCTTGTTTTCTTTTTATTGATGTTTGCATCCTTTTACCTTCAACTTGCCTACATTATACTAGTTAAGTTTTTATAGGCAGCATATAATCGGGTCTTGCTATTCAACCAAGTTGGCCAATCTCTGTCCTTTAATAGGTGTATTTAGTCCATTTACATTCAATGTGATTATTAATATGTTTGGGATATGTATGCCATTTTATTTTTTGCTCTTTTCTTTGTTTCCTTTTTCCTGCCTTTCAGTGGGTTTCTTGAACATTAAAAAATTATTTTATTTATAATACCTTTTTGGCTATTATTATTTTAAATTGACACATAATTATATATCTTTAAGGGGTATGGTGCGATATTTTGATACATGTGTGCAATGTGCAATGATGAAATCAGGGTCATTAGCATATCCATCACCTCAAACACTTATTTCTTTGTGTTGGGAACATTCAAAATCTGCTCTTTCTATAATGTTTTTGAGTATACCTCTTTATATAGCATTTTTAGTGGTTATCTAGGTATTATATTGTATGTACACAACTTATCACCATCCACTGGTGGTATCATTTTACCAGTTCAAGTGAAGTGCCAGAAACCTTACCTCCTTTTATATCCCATTATGCTCCTCTGTTTACAATATAATTGCCTTAAATATTTCCTCTCCATATGTTTGGAACCACATCAGAGAGTGTTATAATTTTTGTTTCAGCCGTCAAACATAATTTAGAAAATTCAAGTGCAAAAGGAAAGTCTATTATATATACTCATATTTTTGTTTACCATGTCTTTTATTCCTTCCCAAAGTTCAGAAATTCTTTTATTATTTCCTTTCTGTTCAGAAAACTTTTGTTTGTCATTCTTTGAGGGTAAGTCTGCAGATGACGAGTACTTTCAGTTTTTCTTAACCAGAGAATGTCCTATTTTTCCTCAATTTTTGAAGGATAATTTGCTGGATGTAGGATTCTGGGTTGACAAAATTCTATATTTATTTTTTAGCACTGGAAAATGTTGTGCCTCTGTCTTCTGACCTACATAGTTCCTGATGAGAAATCCACTGTAATTTGAATTGTTTTCCCCTGTAAGCAAGGAATTTTACTGTGGCTGCTTTCAAGAATTTTTTTCCTTGTCTTTAGTTTTCAGAGATTTGACTCTGATATGTCTTAGTGTGGATTACTTTGGGTTTATCCTGTCTGAAGCTTGCTCACCATTTTGAATCCGTAGATTTTATGTCTTTTGCCAAATTTGGGAAGTTTTCAATTATTTTGTTAAGTGCTTTTTCAGCCTCACCCTCTCTCTCTTCTCCTTTCATGACCCTGATGACATTAATGTTAAATATTTTCTTATAGTCCTACAAGTCGGTGGGTTTTTTAAAAAATATTCTCTGTCGTCTCTGTGATTTCTACTATCCAGTCTTTCAAGTCACTGATTTTTTTCCCCTCTATTTTCTTAATTCTGCTGTTAAGCATAACCATTTTTTTTAACATTTCAGTTCTATTTTTAGTTCCAAAATTTTTCATTTGGCTTTTTGTATCTTCTGTTTTTTTTGCTGAGACTTTCCCATTTTTGATTTATTTGTCTGAAGTATGTTTGTATTGCTCATTAAAACATTTTTATGACTGCTTTAAAATCTTTGACAGATAATTCTATTATCTCTATCATCTTAGTGATGAAATCTATGATCTTTTCATTTGAGTTGAAATTTTATTCAGTTCTTCCTGATTCTTGACGTGTTGAGTAATTCTGTATTGAAATCTGGGCATTTCTGCTACTGTATTATGAGACTATGGGTCTCGTTTAAGCTGTCCATTTTAGCTGGCTTCCTCTGACACTACTTCAACAAAGGAAGGAGAAGCTGTGTTGTTTTGTTACTGGCAGGTAGGGGTAGAACTCTGGTTTCCCCACTAAATCTCTGTTAACACATGAGATGGGGGCTCGTCATTACTGCTTGGGGATGGTGGGAGTCGTGGTTCTCTCTAGGCCTCTACTAATAACTCCCTGACTAAGAGGGGTAGGAATGCCTGTTTCTCGTTTCATATGTGGACTCTCTGACACCACAGAGGTGGAAGGGTGGCCTTATTATTGCTGGGCAGAGGTGAAGGTCCTGACTCTCCACTAGGCTCCACTGATGCCCAGTGGGGAGGGAGGGGGGGCACCTCGTTACTAACAGGTGGGAGGTGGAAACTCAGGCTCACCAGCCTGACATTATGAGGAAGGATATGAGCTCATTACCACCCAGTGAGGATGGACATCCCAGCTACCTTCTTGGCCTTCCTGGACACCAACCCAGCAGGAGAGGAGGTATGGTGGGGCACTTCATTACAGCCTGGAGAGAGTGGAAGTCTAAGCTTCACACTCTATGCCTTTGTGTGTGTGGTGGGGTGGGTGAGGCTAGCTTTCATCTGTGTTGTTTGGCTAGAAGACAGTGGTTAGTGTCTAAAAGTTTCTATCTTGCTAGGCTGCCCCTTTCCTGGTCCTTTGGCAGGATAGAACCAGCTTCTGTTGTTTGTGCTTATTGACATTTCTGGGTTGCCAGCTTCTTCAGTCCCAAGTCTAGGATACATGAGGTGAAATGAAAACCCAGGGAACTCACCATGTCCAGAAGTTCCTAGCTGGTCTGTCCTCTTATCTTTATCTTTCAGAGTATTCTTGTGTTTGTTTTATATATAATGTCCAGGGTTTTTAGTGGTAGTTAAGAGACAGAATAGGGAACAACCCATCTACCCCACCTTTCTGGAAGCAGAAAGGAGAAGTCCCCACTTGAACATTTTTGTTTTGTTTTGTTTTTTAAAAACAATGGAAATATTTGATGGATATCCTACATCAAAGTCCAGGACATAAAAGATGGATGCAGAGCTTTCCCTCTAGTGGAATCTAGGAAAAATTAACCTGCAGTCCCATTTTCTTGTATACCCCTTAATTACTGTGGCCCCTAAAAGGCTTTCAAAGCACTGCCAGCCTCCTCAGTACACAGTTTGCATTAGGACCTCTCTAAACACTTTCAGTGTGACAGAGGCAGGCAGGAGAGAAAAGCATTGTTATTGATGTGGATTCCCCTCTCTCTATTAGATCATACGTTTCTTAAGGACAAGGGTTTAATCGTCTCTGAATCCACAGTGCTCAATCCTATGCCCAACATGAAAGGAATCATTATGTGTGTTGAGTGGATATACAAACTTGAAGGTGCTCCCAGGCTGTAAGAGTTCCCGTCTATGTCTAAAATAAATTTATGTATGTCATCTTTACAAATGTTAATAAAATCTGTATAGTTGACCATTCTGCTTCATAGACAAATGTTTGAACTATTTCATCCAAAAGGGTTTGGTTTCTAGTTCTGTGTCTACCTAGGAAGTCTTCGAACAATTCTACAGGGTTTGGGTTTGAGATAGATCCTTTCCAACATTTTATCTGTGCCCTGGATGAAGATATAGAAAGCATTCTTCTCATCTGCAAGGTTCTCAAATCTAGAAGTAAGTTTTAAACTATGTACTAAGTAGTCCTGGACAATTAGCCACCCCTGCTGGAGACTCTGAGAGGATCATGTGAAGTAGCCAGTGGTTTATGAAGCTGTTCTTAGAGTTCTCTGGTGACAAACTTTTGCTTTCCAGAGTTCCGTCATCTGTCATACAGCTGGTTCACCTCTTGTTTCACATATTTCTGGCGGAGACAGTTGGGAATGGATGAGAGTGGAAAACCTTGCAGCAGTTATTTGCTAGCCTTTAATAAGAAAAGGAGCACAACCAGGGAAATGAAACAATGTCCTGTTGCAAAGGACGCCAACCCCCTGAGGACAACTGTTGCTGACAGAGGTTTATCCTTATTTTGAGATTGATGTTTTACTAAAATGGTGTTAGCTCTGCCTTTCTGTCATCCTGGGAAGTGCCAACAAGGGCCCCAGTGTTGAAATGCAAACTGTGGAAGAGGCTTTAGTACAGGAATTATTGATAAGGAAGTTGTTGATATTGCAGCTGCGTTCTTCTAGCAAATCTGTTTTCTTCTTGGTAACTGCTCTGTGGATGGGATGGAGTCTGAACTCCCTAGCCTGGTCAGTAAGGCTCCTGATGATCTTGTTGCAGAACTGCAGATGGCTTATAATAGAAGATTCATAGCTAACACACAGGCTTTTTAGGTCACCTGATGCCCTAGGGTTCTAGTATCACAGCATTTAGCTAGAAAAAAATTCACATCTCCAGAAAGGCCAATGTGAGGAACTGAAGATAACTGAAGACCCATTCCTTAGTCTTTCAGACAGCTAGTCAACTAGCAGTTTTTGATGTCGTCTTTGTTACTTTGACTCCTGGGGTTGCCAAGTACTGCAGCTCACTTATGCTCCATCCAGAAATGTAAACTCAGCAAAAAGATACATAGGACAAGACTCGAAACTCATGGAAAACCAAGAACCATCTCCACTGTGAAAACTATCTGAAAGTTCATGGAGAATCCAGGTTGCAAGAACCATTGCAAGAATTCTCCACCTGGCCCAGGTACTCTTAGGGTAACTATTTCTACCTATCAATTTTGTCACATACCCCCTCCAATCTGCTCTGCATGTCTCCTTCTATCATACTTATTTTTCTATTAGGTTGGTGCAAAAGTAATTGCAGTTTTTGCCATTACTTTTAATGAGAAAAACTGCAATAAAGTTTTCACCAACCTAGTATCCTACCTCTTTAGTTCACTCATGGCACCTAGTACTTATCTTCTTTGGAACTTGTGAGCTGTGGTTACTGCTGCCAATTTGGTGAATCTGTCTGCATTTTATGGTCTGCATTTTTGAGACCCTGATCAGCTAATTTTTTCCCTATTTTGGTGGTGTTTTGACAAGTACCTGAACTCATAACTTGCTGGCATGCACTGGCTGCTCTTAGGTCAGGTGCTAAGAGGGCACCACACCATAATGCATGATTGCCTAAGGCTGAGCCCTCAGCAGGGGCTCGGGAAGGGGCAGGCACCATTGGAGGGGCTCAAGGATGCGACCTTTACCATAATTTACTTGTCTGGTTTTCTTGCCTCATGATAAACTCTGTGGATAGAGGTAATTAAGACAGCCCTTGATGGTGGGAAACACAGAGTCTAGTGGATATGGGACACTAGATCAGGATTAAGGTAAGATCTTCTGTGTGACTATTGCAAATCAGCTGTTTTTAAACAAAGTATAACATAAAAGGGCTTAGCAAAGAATTGTGAAAGGTAATTAGAAGTAAGCTGTTTATGACCGGGCACAGTGGCTCTTGCCTGTAATCCTAGTACTTTGTGAGGCCGAGGTGGGAGGGTCATCTAAGGTCAGGAGTTGGAGACCAGCCTGGCCAACATGGTGAAACCCTATCTCTACTAAAAATACAAAAATTAGCCAGGCATGGTGGCATACACCTATAATGCCAGCTACCCAGGAGGCTGAGGCAGACAGTCACTAGAACCCAGGAGGTGGAGTCTGCAGTGAGCCGAGATCTTGCCACTGCACTCCAGCCTGGGTGACAGAGTGAGACTCCATATCAAAAAAAAAAAAAAAAAAAAAAAAAAGTGGAGACAATTTGAAGGAATTGGGAGAAGTATGCATTCCAATGAAAGAGCGTAATGAAAACGCACAGCAGTGTAGTATCAAGAAAAAGGACTTTAGAGTCACAAATTTAGGTTCTAGTTCTGGTGTATCTCAAGCTAAATGAATCACTTTAAACAAGTTATGTAGGTTTCTGGAGTTTGGTTTCTTTATCTGAAAGTGAACTAATAATATTTACCTTGGAGTTTTTATAAGGATTAAATGCAGTAATGCATATAACATAGAGCCTAGAACATAGATGTTCAATAAATGTTAGTTGTTAAGTTGGTGCAAAAGTAATTGCAATTTTTGCCATTAAAAGTGGCAAAATTACTTTTTGCCAGTGCAGTAATTACTTTTAATGGCAAAAATCACTATTACTTTTGTACCAACCCAGTAATTAACAGTGATAAAGATGTGTTCATGGTATCAAAAAGGTTCTTGGTTTACAGTGCCTGGGAAGTCAACAAAAGATCAGCCTTGTGGCTAGGAGAGGAGGTCAACCTGAGCTGGTGTACACTGAGGGGGCCTCTTTGGGTGCAGGGAGTTGGACGATTAGCCAAAGAAGTTTCAGAAACTTTAGGCTTTGAAGTCCATCAGAATTTTTCCCCAGACACAGGACACTCAAAGCCACAGATGTGCACATCAACAGGAGTTCAATTAATGATTATTGAATTAGAAAGTCAAAGAGATCTGAAAGTTACATGAGAAAGGGGAGTGCTATAGTTCCTCCTTGGACCTTGGTTACTCTAGCTGTCAAATGAGGTGATTCCTTTGAGTTATGACATCTTAGGATTGTGTTTTCATTTAGTACTCTTAAATTGACAGTAAAAATGGCCTGTATTTACGATGTACATTGTTATATTTTGAAATATGTATACACTGTGGAACCACTAAATCAAGTGAATTAACATGTACATTACCTCACATGCTTATTTTTTGTGGAACACTTAAAATACACTCTCTTAGCAATTTTCAAGTATACAATATTATGAACTATAGTCACCATGATGTACAATAGATCTGTCGAACTTATTCCTGTGTCTAACTGAAATTTTGTATCCTTCAGCCATGATCTCCCCACCTACCCTAGTACCCCCAGCCACTGGTAACCACCATTCTACTCTCTACTTCTATGGATTCATCTTTTTTAGAGTCACATATGAGTGAGGTCATGTGATATTTGTCTTTCTGTGCCTGGCTTATTTCACTAACATGATGTCTTTCAGGTTCATCCATGTTGTCACAAATAACAGGATTTCCCTCTTTTTAAAGGTTGAACAGTATTCCATTATGTATATATACTATGTTTTTCAGGAAAGACTCTTCTAGTAGATCAGAGTGGGTGAAGAGTAAAGAAAGGAGATGGCACCAGCATACGATACAGCTTTTTCCTCTAAAGTCTCTTATAGAAAAAGTTACTGAATTTGGAATCTCCTAAAATTACTGTTGATTTAATTTTGGAGAAGTCATTTGCCTGCATTTATTTCTGGAGACCCTTCTGTATTTTTTTGTTGTTGCTGGTCTTTTTTCCATAGACTCTAACATTTCCTTTTTTTTTTTTTTTTTTTCTTTTTTTGAAGCAGAGTCTCACTCTGTCACCCAGGCTGGAGTGCAGTGGTGCAATCTCAGCTCACTGCAATCTCTGCCTTCCAGTTTCAAGTGATTCTCCCACCTCAACCTCCCAAGTAGATGGGATTACAGGTGCCGACCACCACACCCAGCTAATTTTTGTAGTTTTAGTAGAGACGGGGTTTCACCGCATTGGCCAGGCTGGTCTCAAACTCCTGACCTCAGGTGATCCATCTACCTCAGCCTCTCAAAATGCTGGAATTACAGGCATGAGCCACCGTGCCTGGCCACATTTCCTTTCCTGTCAGAAGTAATTTATGTTTCAGTGAAAACCACAGAATGATGTCCCATTTCATAGACATTATCAGTAAATTCCAGAGCTAGCATGGGGACTGGCAGGTAGTGGGCACTAAGAAAGTGTTTGTCATATGGATAAATAAATGGAGCGTCTTAGAAATCTAGTGCAATCTGCCTATTTTACAGATTGGGAAACTGCAGCCTGAAGAGGAAAAATGAGTTACACAAAGTCATCAGTGACAGGGCAGGTACACAAACCCAAGATTCTCCCAAGCTTAAACATTATTATAAAGCTCCAGGTTTGTAATGACTAGGTAGATATAATTGAGAACAAAAGAGATTCAGTTTTAACTATAAAATAGTCTCTGGCAGGCATTGGCAAAATTTTTATATAAAAAAGCCAGACAGTAAATATTTCAGGCGCTACAGGCCACAGAGTATTTGTCACATCTACTCAGCTCTATTATTGGAGCACCAAAATAGCCACAGATAATATGTAAATGACTGAACACAGTTGTGTTCCAATAAAACCTTATTATTCATGGACACTAAAATCTGAATTTTATACAATTTACATGTGTCATAAAATATTATTATTCTGTTTTATTTTTCAACCATTTAAACATGTAAAAAAAACATTCTTAGCTCTCAGGTTGTACAAAACTAGAGTGGGCTGGACTTGGCCAAACTTTGGTCTGTGACATTAAAAAAGAGAAAAAGTCTAATCATCAAAATTAGTTTTTTTTCAAAATTTTTGGCAGCTGCAGAAATTCCCTTAGCCCTTCTCTCATTTACACTACAATTGAGAAGCGTGCCATAAGCTTAGAAGAATGGAATTTCAAAACTTATTTTAATTGTAACCTGTTTCTGTCCACATTTTTTCAAAGACTGTCTGTTCAGGATAAGGCTAATTTCTTTCAGAATAGTTCTGTGGGTTTGTTCAGTACTGAAAAAACTAAAATGATCTATAATGAGGGTTGGTTAAATATTTGTACACCCACATGGCATATAATAAGCAGCCAAAACATTTATAAGATCTATTGATATGGAAAAATTGTTTATAATTAAGTGTGGAAAGGCAAGTTATTAAACATTATGTTTAGTTCAATCTCATTGAAGTAAATTTAGTGCTATGTAAATCCACAGGAAAATTATAAGTAAATATAACACGTTAAAGATAACATGTTTTGTTTAGTTTTCTTATAATTTTTCTATAATTCATAATGAACTGTGTAATAATTTTTAAATTACATGGAACAGAACCTTTAAAAGGACAAAGACTTCTGATTCTTTTTTTGAAATTAGGAATTTATTATTCAGTTTTAAGAGTTTCTTTCTTTATATAATCTGAATATAAGTCCTTTATGAAATATGTGATTTGCAAATATTTTCTCCTAGTCTATGGGTTTTCTTTTCATTCGTTTAAGTATGTCTTCAATAAAGCAAGTTTTTAATAATAGAGTTTCTAACTGGTGATCTTGAAGCAAACTGTAGCAAAGACCAGATTCTACCCAAATAACGGCATCGCCTTAGATCATTCCTGCTCTGCGTATTTTTCCACACATCAGTCCTGTTCAAAGGGCACAGATGCAGCCATGCATGACCATTTCTCCACTTGTTTTCTTTATTTTTTGTTTTAAGCTACAAATCTTTCCATTTTACAGATATGCCTCTTGGATGGAGGAAGTACTGATAAATTTGTTAATAGATAAATCAATTTCAGCATCCAAGAAAAGAACATTGTTTGTCAGTAGAGCAAACTTCCAGCCTTATTTGGGGGAATTTCTGTAACCTTTTATCTCATGCAAATCTAATCCAAATGTTAGATATAATTAATGACTCAAAAATATTTCAAAGGCATTATCTCTTTTGCTTTTGTATAAATTCTTAAACTAGATGTGGAGGAAAGAAGGAAAGCAGAAGTAAATATTTGTGGACTGACTACTGAGTGCTGGGCATTGCACCTGTCTTTCTTTACTTCTCATACAACTGTGTAAAGAAGTTAATAGTCCCTCTTTATAAGTGAGGGCTGCAAAGCTCAGAGAGATGAAGTAATTTGGTCAATGTTACACAGCTAGTATGGAGAGGAGCAGTATTAAGAGTACAACTCCACCTGGCTTCAAAGACCATGTGCCTTTCATTATGTCAAGGTTATTAATTCAGTTTTACCCATGTAAATGGGGCTCACTCATTTTGCTTTTAGGAAAAATTTAAGAAACAAAAATTTAGTCAATGGCCTTAAGTCTCAAAAGAAAACAATACTGACTAAATATTTAATAAGCATATCTAAAATACACACATTTACATAAAATTAGAGCACACATCTCAGGAACTGTAATGAAGCAATCGGAAAACTGTTCTAGAATCCAAGATTTTTAGAGACATGAGAGAAAGAGACCTTGGTGATTCTGTAGTCCAACCAGCTCATTTTACAGGTGAGAAGACTGAGGGTCTAAGAAATGAAATGGTTTGTTGGAATTCCTAGCAATCAGTGAGACAGCTGAGGCTAGACTCAGTCTTTCATCTCCTCTTTCCTTCTGCTTAATCAGAGGGTTTTATGATTTTCTGTCCAGCAAATTAGACTATGTGTGAAATGTTTGAGAGGTTTTGAGAGCTCAAACTGAGGAAGGAAACAAAGATGAGTAAGAAAAATGCCCTGCCCTCAAAGAGCCTACAGTCTATTGCAGGAACATCCCTGGGAAATGAATTCAGTATGTTCAGTGTTAGAATAGAAGGGGACATACGTTGATAGTGCACACAGCTGCAGGAGGTAAATTGATTTTATTTTTTCCTGTGTGTGTGCATGTCTGTCTTTTCCATAGATGATCTCTTAAATTCTCAATTAAATTCTGTTTTGAATCACAAAAAACAAATTTTAAGGGTGTCCCTAAATTTTACTTCTTGAGATCTAAGAGTTGGATTTATAACTGGTCAGTTGCTTACCCTCTCAAGAAGTAAAATTTAGGGATACCCTTAAAATCTGTTTTTTGTAATTCCAAACAGAATTTAATTGAGAATTTAAGAGGTCACCTATGGAAAAGACACACTTCTTGAGATATAAAAGTTGGATTTATAACCGGTCAGTTCCTTAGCCTTTTGTTCAGGTCCATGTGGCTTGAAGAAACAACTCTAGTTCAGAGGGAAAAAATGCTGACAGTTCACAGCAGAGCATTCCCCAAGCAAAATAAATGTATTGAAAATCTTTTCGGGTAGCCAAACTCTTGGCAAACAAGGAGTTTGTCAACCTGCTTGGGTCCTTGCCAGAAGGCTTTGTTGCACAGCCACACAGCTCCTAATAAACTCTTTTGAGGCACAAACTTGTTGTATGCCTCTTGGTGCTTCTCTTTTGACAGCATGTAAAGGTCTTTATGAAGAAAAATAGCCTTTAACCAAGGAACCGGCCTGTGCTTCAGACTTGTTGTAAAATCTTGATCCAGTTTTTTTCTCTCTGGACTTCAGGTTCTCTCTCTGTAAAAGGAAAATGTAGGACTATCTCCAGGGCAGCAAATGCATGCCATTTATACCAGTGGTGTGCTAGAATTTCCTTGTACTAGCTCATGAGAACTAATTGTTAAATTTTTAGAAATTTTGTGAGCTAGTTCACAACTTAGTGCTTGCTTGAAATCAGCCATGTGAGAATGTTTACACCACATAAATTGATAAATGCTACAAATCAGGATGTCACCTCCCCACTGCCATCAACCCTCAGAACTAGTTACTAGTACTAGTTAAACATTTGCCAGTATACTACCGTCCTTATCCCACATCTGTCCTGTTCTACACTCATGGCAGATAATGCTAACCAGTCACAGAATTCTCACCTAGTCCAGCCTGCATATGACTTAGCAATCTTCCCTCTCTCCCTTCCTCTCTCCCCTCTATTCCCTCTCTCCCTTCCTCTACCCTCCCCTTTCCTTTCCTTCCCTTCCCCTCCCCTCCCTTCCTTCCCCTCCCCTTCCTTCCCCTCCCCTTCCTTCCCCTTCCCTTCCCCCTCCCCTTCCCTCTCCCTTTTCCCTCCCCTTCCCTCCCCTTCCCCTCCCCTCTCTTTCCTTCCCTGCCTTCCTTCCTTTCCCTTTTCATTCTTTCAAGCAAAATTATCTTTAAATGACTTCATGTGCCAGGCAGTGGGGATGGAGTAATAAACAAAATCTGTAAGATTCTTCTCATAAAATTTATTTTTTAGTGGCAAGAAACAGACATTAAACCAGTAAAAATGAAAAGAAAATATAACTTCATATAGTATAAGTGCTGTAAAGGAAACAGACTCAGGTGGTATGATAGTGCCTAAGGAGATACAGTCATCAGGGAAGATGTCCCTGAGGAAGTGGCTTTGAACTGAGACTTGCATAAGAAAATAATCACCTTGCACACCGAAGGAAAGGGCATTCAGGGGAGAGGAACAGCAAGTGCTAAGGCCCTGGAGTGAGAACAAACTTGTTGTGTTGAAGAAAGCAAAAGCTGCATGCCCAGCATGCAGGGTAATAAGAGAGGTGAGAGAAGTAGGCAGGTTCAGATTTGTAGAGTCTTATAATACATACTAATGAGTGTGGAATTAATTGCAAAAGAAATAGGAAGTTGATGGGGCAGTGGGAAGGGTTCAGCTACTATTCAGCTACTATTAACTGATGAGATTTCTAAAAATTAATGGAGGTGAAATTCATATAACATAAAATTAACCATCTGAAAGTGAGCAATTCGGTGGCATTTAGTACACTCACAATGTTGTGCAGCCAGCACCTCTATCTAGTTCTAAAGTATTTTTATCATTCCAAAAGAAAACTCCAGACCCATTAAACTCAACTGACAAGATTTGAAGTGCCAGATTGAGCTTTCGTGGTAGTGGGTCATCTCTCACTTTTGCTCTACTTTGTATGAATCTATGATTTCATGAGCCTTCATTACATATAACAGAGCTTTTTGGGATACTGAGGCCCCAGCTTTTCGGGTGGAGAGGAAAATGTCTCCGATTAAACCAAATGTCTTAGAACCTGGCCTGATTACCAGTGGGGTTACCTCTTTTATAATGTAAAACATTGTGCTAAAATTTTGAGAATTGAATTCTTAGAGCAAACTTACTTACTTTCACAGTTGTTGCAGGTAGTACTTCTTGTAGTATGTAATACTAGTTACTAAAATACTCAACATGGTTTTTCATTACCTAGCACCAGTTTACTGTGTTTGTGAACCAAAATCTCAATGCCTTTAGTAAGGACTCTAGAGGTCTTCATTTTCCTCTTTGATCAACTTCTTTAGCTCAGTGTGGCCCATCCTGCCTCTCTGCACTAGCCTTTTTGCCACCTGAGATAGTGCTCATGTGCCTAGCACTGTATAGTAGACTGATAACATGGGTGTGACTTCTGGAGTTGTCCCAAATCATCAGAAACGGCTCCTTCATGACCAGGTCTTATCACACAACATAAAGGTCACAGGAATTGAAGATTATGCTGTTAATATATATATATATATTTTTTTCCTTTGGAGACTCATTCTGTTGCCCAGGCTGGAATGCAGTGGTGCCATCATGGCTCATTGCAGCCTCAAACTCATGGGCTCAAGTGATCGTCCCACCTCAGCCTCCTGAGTAGATGGGACTACAGGTGTGAGCCACTGCACCCAGTCTTATGCTATTAATCTTTAATATGTTCTTATATATCCTAAAATTTCAGACAATGCAATTCCAAAAGCATTACGAATCTCACAGCTTGATTAATGTTGCACCCTCTGCTATGCCTCACTCATGGAGAGAGGAAAAAACGGGTGGATGTTAGTGCAATTCAACTCTCTCTCTCTCTTTCACACACACACACACACACACGAGAGAGAGAGAGGGAGAGAGAGAGGGAGAAAGAGAGGGAGAGAGAGAGGGAGAGAGAGGGAGAGGAGAGGCAGGGAGAAAGTGGGAGAGGGGGACTGGGGGAGAGAGAGAGAGAGAATGAATGAACATGAGATAAAATTTGGAAGTGGGATATAGGTAATTTTTGGACATGTTTGAGAAATATACCACTACAACATCTAAGTGAAAATGTGGCAATTGTGTATGTGATTCTAAGGCTGAGGAATGAAGTCTGTGTTGGGAGTTAAAAACTTTAGTCATCAGATTGTATGTGGCAGTTGAAGCCATGTGATTCCATGAGATGGTCCAGGAAGACAATATAAAGTGACCATAAAAGAAGACCCAGGGCAGAATACAGTACCAACATTTAAAAATAGACGGAGAAAGAGAAGAGTCAGGATGCCTAAGAGCTTTCTAGAAAAGCATGTACTACAGTCTTCTGGGCAATATACTTTCATGAAGGGGCACAATTACTTCTCCTGGCCAGGAAAAGCTTCGAGGTGGTGCAGAAGTACCAGATGTGATACTCTTGAGGAACAGTATTTACCAGATGTCCTCTGGCCACTTCTACTTTCCAACACAGAACCCTCCTGAACTTTAGACCTATATTTTCTAGTATTTCCTCAATGCCCACCAGCATCTCATCCTTCTTCGCAAAGCCAATCCCCATTGAAAAGTGTTTAGAAGGTGGAATATCAGGGATCAGAGACTAACAGCAGGAGTGAAGACAAGGAAGGTATTGACCAATTGAAGGCTGTACCGTCCTTTAAAAAAAAAAAGGCATGTAAGGCGAGAAAAGCTGTAGTTTTTAAAGTAAAGATGTGCTTTCAGAAATATTTCCTCTATTAAATTTCTACGTCTACTGTAGACTTGAACTCTTAAGAGCTAATGCTGTAGTATTTATTTCTGTGTCCGAGTACTTACAGCAGTGTCTGGCACAGGTAAGGGCTATGAACAAATGTTTATATCATTGATTTGAATGCACTTTCAAATGGGGCCAGCAACACCTTCCCACAAGGATTTATCACAAACATTCCCTAGTCACTTTTGCTTAGGCAATAATTTCATCAGTTAAATAAGGGAATTGGGTCACATTCTGGGACAAGCAGCATAAAACTTTCCTCAATTGCACCAGACTAGCTTATTACACCTATCTACAATGGATACTTTTTCACTAATACCATTGTTTTCACTGCTAACACATATATATATAAATTGAGTGAGAGAGCAAGAGAGAGCTCCATTATATATATACACACACAACCATTATATATATAAAACCATTACAGATACATATATACGTATGCATACACATTATTGTATATTATGTGTACACATACATTACATATGTATAGACATTATATATACATTACATACATATGTATATTACATGTGTATAGACATTATATATACATTACATACATATGTATATTACATGTGTACCTCATGTGAAAGTATATTTTGTATATACATAAATAGTTCTTATATATGTATATGTAATGGTTATAAATATCATGGTTATATATTATATACAATGAAATTAAAACCTTGGTTTAGAGCAACTGAATCATTAATTATCCACGATAAATTCTATACTTAGAAGAACCATCAAGGGAGTGAAGAATCGGTGTTATTGTTTATGGGGACAGAGTTTCAGTTTTATGTGATGGTGGTGATTGAACAACAATGTGGATGTACTTAATGTCATTGAACTGTACCTTTAAAAATGGTTAAAGTGGGGTATTTTATGTTATATATATATTGGCACCTGTATTAGGAACCACAATTACAAATAATAATTAGGCCAGGTACACTCACGTCTGTAATCCCAGCACTTTGGGAGGCTGAGGAGGGTGGATCACCTGAGATCAGGAGTTCGCGACCAGCCTGCCCAACATGGTGAAACACTATCTCTACTAAAAATACAAAAATTAGCTGGGTGTCATGGGGGGCACCTGTAATCCCAGCTACTTGGGAGGTTAAGGCAGGAGAATCACTTGAACTTGGGAGGCGGAGGTTGCAGTGAGCCAAGATTGCACCATTGCACTCCAGCCTGGGCGATAGAGTGAGACTGCGTCTCAAAAAGTAATAATAATAATAATAATGATAATAATAATAATAAGTTGTAGCTCAATTTGAAAAAAGGAACTGTAATTTTTTTTTTTTTTTTTTGAGACAGAGTCTTGCTCTGTCACCCAGTCTGGAGTACAATGGTACAGTCTTGGCTCACTGCAACCTCTGCCTCCCAGGCTCAAGCAATTCTCATGCCTCAGCCTCCCAAGTAGCTAGGATTACAGTCACGTGCCACCATGCCCAGCTAATTTTTGTATTTTTAGTAGAGACAGGGTTTTACCATGTTGGCCAGGCTGGTCTCAAACGCCTGACCTCAAGTGATCTGCCTGCCTTGGCCTCCCAAAGTGGTGAGATTACAGGCCTGGGTCATTGCCCCTGGCCACTATCATTTCTTTTATAAGAGTTTTGGGGTTATTGTTGTCTCTGAGTGGGAAAGTGGAGAGGAGGTGTAAGCTGGGGTACTCATCTGCAGTGCATGAAGGGTGGCGTTATGTGACTCTGTGAGTAAGCTGTACCGGGAGAGTTGTGGGTTGAATTGTGCCCTACCGCAAAAGATGTTTAAGTCCCAACTCCCAGTACCTGTGTATCTGACCTTTTTTGGAACAGGGTCTTTGCAGATGTAATCAAGTTAAAATGAGGTCATACTGGGTTAGGGTGGATCTTAATCCAACATGCCTGGTGTCCTTATAGAAGAAAAGGGACATGGGGGAAAGGAGACACTCAGAGAGCTCACCATGTGAAGAGGGAGGATTGGAGTGAGGCACCTACAGCCAGGGAACACTGGGGGTTGCCCACAGTCACCAGAAGCAAGGAAGAGGCAAAGAAGGGCTCTGCTGCAGCCTTCAGAGACAGGACATGCCAACACTCTGATTTCAGTCTTCTGGGCTCCTGAAATGTGAGAGAATAAATTTCTGCTGTTTTAAGTCACTCCATTTGTAGTAATTTGTTACAGCAGCCTCAATAAACTAATACAAGTGCCAAGGAGAAGGGGATCCCCACTAACCGTTTCTGGGTTGCAAATACATTTGATTGGCTAAGAGGGATTGGCTGATATCAATCATCTTTACAGAGCATTCTGACTGTACACCAACCTCATTAAGGGGTATGTGTGTGTGCATGTGTGTGCGCATGCCTGTGTGTGTGTGTGTGTGTGTGTGTGTGTGTGTGTGTGTGTAGGAGGGAGTCTTGCCATTACAGGCAAGGACTCATAAAAGAATGACTGACAGTCTTTCTTTAATGGGTGACAGGAGGCAGAATTTAAAGGCTACCTATGTGTGAAGAAGCTATGACAAAACCAATGAAATGTTTCCATTTCAAGGAGACATACTACCAATATAGCTAGTTTAGCCACTTCTCTAAAGGAAAGATGCAGTTTGGAGTATTGGAAAGAATGTGAGTTTAGCATGAGATGAATGAGAATGAGTTACATGTTTTAGGAAGCTTATAGTCTTGAAAGGGTAATAAGATGCAAATAATTAAATCTATTAAAAGGAAGAACGATTCAACTTCATCTATGAGATACAAAATACGCCAAGAGTACCTATGATTCTAACTCTCCAGAAAAATGTCCAGAAAAGAAGGGTACCTCAATGGACTTCTGGGAACATGGGGGCACAGAGGGCTGGTCATCTAGTTAGGAGGAAGAGATTGAATAAAATGCAGAGAAGGGGGCAATCAAGGCCTAGGGAAGTTTAATGAGAGCCTTCATTCTATAATGGCAGGTGGCATCAAAGGTCAGGCTAAAAATTACAGGTTTGCTTTTCCAAATGCTGAGGAGACTCTGAAGGTTTCTGAGCAGGAGTGCAATGTGAGCAGAGCTGGGCTTTGAGTAGAGTATTATGGTGGCTGGGTTTAATATGAATTAGAGGCACAAAAATACAGAAGCAGGGAAAACAATTGGAAATTTATTGTTAAACCAGTTGTATTTTCTTGGGTGGCAACTTGCTTCTTGATTTTCTATTCTTTAGAGATTTAATTACAAATGAGGCTTGGAATCCAAAAGGAAAGTTCACAGAACAAGAGAGTCTTCAACAGTAAAAGTAGAACAAAGGAGCAAGTCAGCAGCCCCAATTTCCCCTCTTCCTGTCACCCTAAATAATAATAAATATCAGGGAAGCAACTGATTCATTTGTTTTTATCATTTCTTTACAGTTAACAGAATTTAAAAAGAACAATTTTTCCAAGCAATTTAGTTGTGAGCCTCTGATTTCTAGTTATAATACAGAATTACTTACTGTAGGCCAATTGAGATTTACTAGTCACCTACAAAGTCCACTCTGAGGAGCCTTAACTGTTATTTCCAAAAGAGTTAGAAATATTCTACCCAGTGACAGCAAAGTTTTTCTTTTGCACTATCTCTCCCCTCAAAAAAGTATATATGACCCATTTTCTATCAGACAAAATGAAAAAAAATAGCTTTATTGATTCCTGTGGAAAAATGCATACTCTAATAATTTGATACCTGTTATATTTTAGCTTAGAAAACCACGTAGAAAAATGTGGCACTGCCTTTTAGTCATTGAAGTGTTAATTTCTGGGAATACTCTGGAAATTGCAATAAAGAAGCCACTTTCAACAAGGCGCGGTGGCTCACGCCTGTAATCCCAGCACTTTGGGAGGCCAAGGCGGGCGGATCATGAGGTCAGGAGATCGAGACCATCCTGGCTAACATGGTGAAATCCTGTCTCCACTAAAAATACAAAAACTTAGCCGGGTGTGGTGGCGGGCGCCTGTAGTCCCAGCTACTTGGGAGGCTGAGGCAGGAGAATGGCATGAACCCAGGAGGCAGAGCTTGCAGTGAGCTGGGATCTTGCCACTGCACTCCAGTCTGGGCAACAGAGCAAGACTCTGTCTCAAAAAATAAAAAATAATAATAAAAAAAAGAAGCAACTTTCTAATTTCTAACTTCATGCTTAAATTATATCAAAGATAATATTTGCTGTCATAAATTCACACACAAATTAGATTATATGTGTAACTAGGTGGGCCAATGCATTCTTCAGGCCAAGAGTTTGTTCATTGCTGATTTAGGCAAAGCTTTTTATTGCACACCTGGGAAAATGAATTCCAAAGATGTAAAGTGATTTGCTTGTGGTCACATTTCTAGTAAATTATTTAATTCTAACATAGGTCATTCATTTCGGAGCCTGCATATTTAGTGTCTTCTTATTATTTTCCTACTATTTACACTCTCAAGTAGATCCTTCTCTTAGGTTACACAGAAAGCAATCTGGGTCAATACTCTGTCACTCACTTCTAAAAGCAAAACACCATTCGCAACTTTTCAACTCATTTTCAGAACTGTAGATTTTTGGGGTTCTTACCACTACTTATATTGGTTCCATGAGAATGTAACCAGGACATCAGTTCTTTCCTGTTCTCTTCTCTGAACTATCCTATAGAATTAAATTGTACAACAGCATTTATGAACAATATGGATTTCACTGGAGACTGTATAAGGAACGTGGAGAAGGTTTGCACCATCCATTGAACAGCATTCAGCTTGGAATCCCAAGTTCAGACATCTTTCTTTATCTCACTCCTTTTTCTATTGCCCAATCACAAGGGGTCCTTCTTTTCTATCCTTTGCACCAATGACAAGGTGACCATTTTCCTTTCCCACAGGTCAGCTCCACCCCAGTTGCTACCTCCAAAATACCCCCAGGGTCTCAGTGAAAGGAAAGGTTGGCCAGTTCATAGACCCACCATTGTAGCAAGCAAGGGAGGAGTCCCCTTCTGCACTTGATCATGACTTTTGAACTCTTGCTCTTACATACATAGCTTTCACAGCATTTTCCTACAAATTATAGAAATGCTTTACGGAGGAGGAATTCTATTTTCAACTCATTATTGGGGCGATATATGAGCAAAGCAGATGATGTTCCTCAGATGTTGTAGATGAAAACTTAATGTGCCCAAGGAGGGAGAAGAATCTTTAAAGTCACTGATTGAGATTTTGTGTACTCTTCTGCGCTCAAGGTTGGTTGTTTAATTAATACCATCTGGCTCATTCACCACTTGCTAACACAAGGAAATACTGAGAGGACTGGCTTTCTGATATTAAATATTACTTTTGAAATCCAAATAGTTCTTCTTATTAAGCTGAGATCAAAGTTGAATTTAATTAGCTTTAAGAATAGAACTGTAAATAGAAAAGGCATTCATCAACAAGCATATTATCCTTCCTTGCAGATCAGCCTACACATCATGTATCTCTTCATGATGATGAAAATAATATGTTTTGGGAAAAGTATTAGCATAATACTATCAAAGGAATTTGCCTGATATAAATGTAATATACATATATATATACATTTTTATATAAAAAGACATACTTATCACAGTAGCATCATATTTCTCCATGGCTTCAATAATTTTTTCTAAGATTTTCCTCACCATCAGACATTCAGAAACATTTCCTGAAGGATCCTTTAGTAAATTAATACTGCTATATTAAGATTCTTAAATCCTTTAATAATTCTTTGGATAATTCCTAAATTACTCTAAGAACTGTATCCTTGGAAATAAATCCTAAGAACAAAACGAACATGGTTTTGTTGGAAGGACCAGCTAGAGAAAATAGCCATCTTAAAATGCAGTCGAAAAGTGGCAAAAGCTTTTAGACAACCATTAGCTATCCTCATGGAGGAACAGATTAAAATGTCTAAAAGAAATAGAAATGTTAAATGTTCCAATTTTGCATCAAGTATGTAATTTCTTTTTTGTTTTGTTTCATATCCAACCAGTTGGAACCTACAAAATAATACAGCACAGATTTCTTTTTGTTGGTCCTGTAATACTTCCCCTGGAACAATTATGCATGTGATTGGGGGACTGTCACAGCCAAACTGATGTCCTCCCTTGGGACCATGAGGAACAATTGCCCTTCCCCATGGGGTGGCTCTAAAAGCTGAGTCTAAAAGCTGAGCCCGTTTGATGAATGGCAGCAGCCCTCTGGACTGTGCCACCCTTTGTGGATGGGACAGAGAGACTACACAATTGGGCCAAAATACTTTCTCCCAAATGGTCAATTGCAAATTGTGTGTGACTGCAGGAGAGCTCTACAATAACCAAGGAAGAGAAACCATGACAATTTTAAAAAGTACTGAAAAACATGTTTGTTTGTTTTTCTAAATCCCTAAGGGTCTTTTTGTTTGTTTATTTTTTTACTGGTCCCAGTTTGTTTCCATCCTTTTCTAGGCTTTCATGTCATTAAATGAACAAGGCATGGACATTTTATTTGCAAACCAAGTAACACGTAATATATTTCTGTGTTCCAAACCCCACATGATGTAACTTCAAATCGACAATGTGAGAAAAATACATATTAATTTAATTACTCTCCAAATATCTATTTTTTAATCCTCTCTGAATGGCTCTCCCACCTCATAGGCTTTAAAACTTCTGGAAAATGCAATGATGAGTTCTAATAGACCCTGCTTTTGCCTCTGGATAGTGGAACTCTATCATTTATCTCAGGCTAATTTGCTAAAGCTGTGCACACATTAATAAAATATATTATTTTAGGGGAGACGGAGGTGTCGAATTATTGCTTATGTCATTTCTTAAGAAGTCGTGCTCTTAATGCTTAAAAGAAGGCTAGCATTGTTTGCACCAAAAAGTTGGTGATTCCCTCCCCGAAATAGTAATGAAATTACTTCTGTTGAATAAACTTTTAAAGTCATTTTAAAAGCTGACCAAAAAAAAAAAAAAAAGCTTCTGGAAAACAAACCTACAGAGTGTCATATATGGGGTCAAAATGTGGGCCTTGGAGGCAGGGACTGAAATCCCTGTTTGGCTAACACTGTGATTTTTGGAAAAATGTTTTAGCCTCTCTGAAACTCAATTTCTTGTCCATAAAATGGGCTAGTAAAGCTTTCAGGGTACCTGGAAGGATTAAATTATAGAATGTGAAATACAGTCCTAGGAGGGGAATAAAGGTTAGACTCGGGTTCAGGAGCCAGCAGCCTGGGTTTGATTCCCCATTCAGCCACTTAATATGTGCATCAAACCCCTTCACTTCTCTGTGCTTCATTTTTCTCATACATAGAATGAAAACAGACCCAGCATGACAGCTCGTGCCTGTAATCTCAGCACTTTGGGAGGCCAAGGCAAGTGGATCACTTGAGGTCAGGAGTTCAAGACCAGCCTGGCCAACATGGTGAAACTCATCTCTACTATTAATAAATATACAAGGGTGGGTGCAGTGGCTCATGCCTGTAATCCCAGCACTTTGGGAGGCCGAGGTGGGTGGATCGTGAGGTCAGGAGATCGAGACCATCCTGTCCGATATGATGAAACCCCATGTCTACTAAAAATACAAAAAGTAGCTGGGTGTGGTGGTGTGTGCCTGTAATCCTAGCTACTTGGGAGGCTAAGGCAGAGAGAATTGCTTGAACCAGGGAGGTAGAGGTTGCAGTGAGCAGAGATCACACCACTGCGCTCCAGCCTGGAGACAGAGGGAGACTCCCTCTCAAAATAAAATAAAATAAAATAAATATACCAAAATTAGCTGGGTGTGGTAGCACGCGCCTGTAGTCCCAGCTACTTGGGAGGCTGAGGCAGGAGAATCACTTGAACCTGGAAAACGAAGGTTGCAGTAAGCCGAGATCACACCACTGCAATCCAGCCTGGGTGACAGAGTGAGATTCCATCTCAAAACAAAGGAAAAAAAAAGAAAGGAACGAAAACATTATGTACCTTGGCTGATTATCAGAAGGCTTAAATGATTTCATACATGCAAAGTACTTAAACAATGCCTGCACCATAGTAAACACGTGATGAATGCTTGCCACTATTGTTGAACAGCATAACTCCCCTGCTCTGAATCTACTTTCTCATGTTAATGGGGTGTCAGAGGCATGTCTCCTCTCTCCACCCCAAGCTCAAGGATATTTGAGTGAGCCTGACCAGGTCCAAAGTTCAGCTTCTTTCCCATACAGAGAGATAACACAGTGTCCCTTTATGAGTTTATGAGTGTGTGGTGGTTTAGCTGGGAGGTGCCCACAGGCAATGGCTAGATTTCTGTCTTGTAAGGTCTAGAACTGCAGGTAGGGTGTTGATGGCATTCATTCCAGGGAAGAAAATGTTGCAAAGCTAAGTGATGACCCCGCTCACCAAATGGTCCCATCTGCCCTGGCCAGTCTGTGGGGTTGGGGTTAGTGCCTTAGTCTAACAAGGGCTCTTGGTTATGATCCTCGTTCAGGTTACACCTGAGACACCTGAAGAAGACCTAGTGCTTCTGCAGAGCTTCAGATTACACAATAGGCACCAAAGAGCTGACCCCCAAGAAGTACTCACCTAGTCATACCAGGCAGAGTTGGACCCTTGCTTGTGTACAAGGTGCAGGGAATGATTGGCCCCAGGGAAGTCATAGTGATCCAGTGAAATAATTGATTGTCAGAGATCTGGTCATGAGAACTGCCTCAGGAGAATAGCCCAACAAAGTTGAGTCAGCCCAGCAGAAGCCCGGACCTACTCTGCAAGAGGAACTTAAGACATTTGATACCTGCCTCAGTCAGGGAGACCAAAGGATCCAGGCACAAGCTTCGCAAGTGGAGTTTTATTAGACTTGCACACTTCCATTAGACTGGGGCCTTCTCACAGTAAATTGCTATTAAATTAAGTTTGGCCTAAAGCTGCATCCATACATATTTTAATATTGGCTTAAAGGTTTCTTCATACATATTAAACTGTAACCTGACTTGCTGTGTACACAGAGTGTAACGTACTCTCATAACAGGTAGCGAGTCTCAGCCAATCACTGCAGCCGAGTTTCAGTCCATTACAGGCAGCCAAATGTTTAAACAGTGTTCAGATAAGGCAAACGCCAACCTGTACCTAACCCTGCTGTTTCTGTACCTTGCTTCTGTGTTCTGTATGTCACTTTCCTTTTTTGGTCTGTAAATGTTACCCAACCAAGCAGCATCCCTGGAGTTGCTCTGAACCTATTCTGGCCCTTAAGACTGCCCAGTTGGTGAGCTGATCTTCATTCAATTAAACTCTGTTACATCGGATTATTCTAAAGTTTTTCTTTTAATACTATTTTCAGAATTTTCACATCATCTGGGTGAATTCTGAAAGGACACCTACATAGTAAAAACACCCTCTCTCCTATAATCTGGGTGACTTTGGATAGTGGAATAAGCCTGCTATAGTGGATGAAGCAATTAGTCCCCACCTGTGTATTTCCTGGGTGCGGGCTCCTTGCTCCTCCAGGCAGTGGATGTGTAAGCAGGTGGTTTTCCCACTTTGAGATGGCACACCCAGTGACCCTCTACACATATACCCCAACCTTGCAAATGATTGCTTAAGGCCAGCGGTTCTGATTTGTGAGTTGGGCGCCTGGTTTGTCATATATACAAGCCTTTGGTAGTGAGATTTGTAGGGTCCCTTTCCTCTTCATTTTTGCCCTAATATAATTTAATCCCAGGCCCTCAAAGCTGACTTTTTGCATAAGATAAGGACTTAATGGAATCTTGTGAAGGCAGAACTCTAAATACTTGGTCACAGCCTTCCTTTACCAATTCTCCAAAGGTGAAAGGCAGTGGTGGTGGGGATGTTGGGGTTATTACTACTCCTGGAGCTTCCTCTTCCTCTTAAATAGTACCCCAGTCTTAACTGGATAACCTCAAAATAGGTCACTAAGTAGTTTAGCAATCCAGAAATAATCCTTCACAAATATCCTATAATACCTCTACCTGCCCCAAAGCTATCCTATTCTGAGAAGCACCAAATGAACCCTGTCAGCCAAGGTCTTCTTTTTAAAGATGGTCAGGCAGATTCTTGCTACAGCAGAAAATAAATGTGTTCTCTGCAGGCCATCAAAATACCCAGGTGTTTGGTGGGATAATTTGCTATATTCACAGTTTTCTTTTTAATAAACATGAGGTCTGGACTATAAGATCCTTAGGAACCCAGCAACTTGTTGGGATATTTTATCTGAAATATTTGGCCATCAGAATATTGGAAAGATTATTCTGGGACAACTGTAGGCACTTTTCATGATGACTTTCCTAAGATAATTTAAAAATTTTGAAAGCCTGCCAACTTCAAGTTATCTGATCCATTTGAACCATGTTTCTAAAGCTCAATCCTAAATAGAACTCATGAAACCAAAAGCTTTGTCCCTCCTTGGTGACATTATCCCAAGAAGATTATTATAGAATGCTGAGGATGTCACTTTACCTGAATAAAGGATAGTGGCATGGGAGAGGTGGTGCTGATGCATTGAAGACTTAGTATTTGAGTGACTAATTTGACCTTCTTCTAGCCTGGAGCTAACAGAGTAGATCTCACACCAGCACTACAGCATGAAGGTAGACACAGCATGATAATAGCAAAGTAGAATTACCACAACCTCAGCAAGTCAGTACAGTCAGAATCAAGGTTGTTTGCTTGGAGGGAAGGGTATAGAGGAGAGTTAATATTGGCAGTAAAGTGGGTATGGCCTCCCCAGAGGCCAGTATTAAGCTGACATTCTTAAGGTGGTCTCACTGGCATCCAAAAGCAGATACTCATTTAACTCATGCACAAATTTGTAATATCCAGCAATTGTCATCATCTGATTTAGCTACCAAGGCCTCCCCTGGAAAGACTTCTGACTCCCTTGCCTGTTTTATGCACAGACATTTCCATCTTAATTTGGGACAATCCCTGAAGAAGATGCCAACATCTTGCTTTGATTTTTTTGCAGGTGATTTCTTCGGACTTTACCCTGTCTTTGTTTTGATGTCTGCAGAGAGTGCTGAAACACTGGCCTGGCCATGGTTACTTCCTTTTTCAGCCTGGCTTGGCTCCTGAGTGATTTAAGACCTGTTTTGGAACTAAGTGTGGGAGTTGGAATGATGTGGAAGAGAAGGTCAGATAAATAACAATTGTCATCAGGAGACCCAGGCAGAAATGGGTCTGCAGAGGCACAGAGAATGTTCTTCATGGGCCCTGTTCCATTGGTTACAAATGGCCCTTTTATTTTCATTGGAAGGGATAAGGAAAGTTGTCCCCTAGGAACGTTCTCACAAATCCAAGGCCTCTTGCTCTTGCAGAAAGATATAAGAGCTTATAGTCCTGAGGGTTACCTCTTTCCAAGAATTCCTCATTTGGAAAAAGAGATGGTGTTGGAATCCACCTGAGACGCTCACATGTTGGGATCAGAAGATAGTGACTGGATGGATAGAGTTTTTATAGTTCAGATGAATAAAGACTTCCTTTGCTACTGCACTAGCTGAACCTTTATAAAACACAAATCAGATCATGTCCCTTCCCTGCTTAAAGCTCTTTGATAGTTCACCATTGATTCCACAGTCAAGTCCTAGATTTTCTGACTGCCATTTTAGCCCTCCATGATCAGCCACGGCTTATCTCCCTGGCCTTTCCCCTCAGTGTGGACCCTCTCTACTCATCCTTTATGGCAAGGGGTTAGCATACTGCAACTCATAGGCCAAATTTGGCTCTCAAGGACTAAACTACACTACAAGCTAAGAATGGTTTTTACATCTTTGAACAGCTACACATTAAATGATTTTGCAAGGAGTTTGCAAGGCAAAAGGGATTCAGTTAAGGGTTTTCCAGGCAGATAAACAGCATGTGAAGCCATACAAGTGTCAAGACATCATATCAAGAGAAAGTTGTTGTGGGGTCATAGAAGGATTTTTAACAGAAAATGGCAAAGTCATATATATGTATGGTAGGAACAGAAAGGAGAGGGCAGGGCAAAACTGGGGGCAGGGAGACCAGACAGGAGGTGATTTTACTTGTTCAGTTAAGCAGTCATGATATATAAACTCAGACAAATGTGAGGGTGAGGGGAAGAAGATGAGCACTCAGATCTGAGAGGGCTTAATGAATTATCTGTTACAGATGGGCTGTCGTTGGTGGGTGGGGGAAAGCTTGGCTCTGGTTTCCTCTCACAGGTGACTGGTTCTGTTGGCTCTGGTTTCCTCTTATAGGTGGCTGGTTCTGGTCCCTGAGAGGATAATGGAGAGACACCTGAGCTAGAGAATGCCTTAGAAGTCAAGGTGCTGGCGTGCAGGGAGGATGAGGCATTGTTCAATGTGAATGAATCATGGTTAAAATGTAAATGAATACCTTCAGCCATCACCTCTTCTAGGAAGCCTTCAGGCTGAGTTATGGTCCTCCTCTGTTGGAGCATTGGTTAGTCATTCAGAACCTTTACCAAGTAGCTCTTAACTGGTTTGTACTTTTATTTTTTACCCCACTTAGATGGGATGAACTCATTGAAAGTTGATGTAATGATTAATCTTTATTTTGTCGGGGCCTACAGTGTCCAGTTGCTCAATAAATGATCATTGAGCTTCACTGAATAGAGGTGGGGCCTCTTGGGGAAGGTCCCCCTGGGTGATGTGGTGGGCAGAGCAACAGCTTTGTCCTCTAACAGACCTGTAGAATCTTTCCACTTTCTACCTTTGTGAGTGTTGACAAAAAGAGTGAAACTCTATAAAATATTTGAAGAGATTTATTCTGAGCCAAATATGAGTGACCATGGCCTGTGACCCAGCCCTCAGGAGATCCTAAGAACATGTGCCCAAGGTGGTCAGGGTGCATTGGTTTTATACATTTTAGGGATACATGAGACTTTAATCAAATACGTTTAAGAAATACATTGGTTCAGTCCAGAAAGGTGGGACAACTCAAAGTGGGGGTGGAGGGGTGGTGGGGGTAGGGCTTCCAGGCTAGGTTATAGGTAGATTTCAAGTGTTTCTAATTGGTAATTAGTTGAAAGAGTTATCAATAGAAAGGAAGGTCTGGGTTGAGATAAGATGTTGTGGAGACTGAAGTTTTATCAAATAGGTAAATCCTCCAGGTAGCAGGCTTCAGAGAGAATAAATTTTAAATGGTTCTTATCAGACTTAAGGTCATGTTGACGTTAATACTGGAGAGGCATAATGGGGTATGTCCTATCCCCACTTCCCTTCGTGGCCTGAATCAGTCTTTCAGGTTAAATTTTAAAGTGCCCTGGCCTAGGAGGAAGTCCGTTCAGATAGTTGGGGGGTCTTAGAATTTCATTTTTGGTTTACGTGAGCTTTGCCAGATCACTTCATTTTTATATAAATATTGGCATACCTCATTTTATTGTGCTTTGTTTCATCATGCTTTCAGATTTGGAGTTTTTGACAAGTTGAAGGTTTGTGGCAACCTTGGGTTGAGCAAGTCTATTGGTGACTTTTTTCCTACAGTGTGTGTTCACTTTGGGTCTCTGTGTCACATTTTAGTAATTCTTACAATATTTCAAACTTTCACATTATTATTATTACATTATTATGCTATTACATTAGACTACTACATTATTATTATTGTATCTGTTATGGTGATCTGGGATCAGTGACCCTTGATATTGTAATTGGTTTGAGGCACCACAAGTTGTGCCCATGTAAGAGGGCAAACTTAACCAATAAATGTTGTGTGTGTTCTGACTGTTCTACCACTGGCTATTTTTCCATCTCTCTCTCTCTCTCCCCGCTCCTGCCTCCCTATTCCCTTAGACACAACAATATTGAAATTAGGCCAATTAATACTCCTACAATGGCATCTAAGTGTTCAAGTGAAAGGAAAAGTTGCACATCCTTCACTTTAAATCAAAAGCTAGGAATCAATTATGCTTAGTGAGGAAGGCACATTGAAAGCTGAGATAGATTGAAAGCCAGGCCTTTTGTGACAAAAAGTTAGCCAAGTTGTGAATGCAATGAAAAAGTTATCGAAGGAAATTAAAAGTGCTACACTAGTTACCACACAAATAAGAAAGCAAAACAGCCTTATTGCTGATACTGAGAAAGCATTAATGGTTGGGATATAAAATCAAACCAGCTACAACATTCCCTTAAGCCAAAGCCTAATTCAGAGCAAGGGCCAAACTCTCTTCAATTCTATGAAAGCTGAGAAAGGTGAGGAGCTGCAGAAGAAAAGTATGAAACTAGCAGAGTTTGACTCAAGAGGTTAAAGAAAAGACACTGTCTTCGTAACATAAAAGGTGAAGCAGCAAGTGCTGATGTAGAAGCTGCAGCAAGTTACCCAGAAGATCCAGCTAAGACAAACTGATGAAGGTGGCTCCATTAAACAACATATTTTCAATGTAGACAAAACAGCCTTCTATTGGAGGGTGCCATCTAGGACATCTATATAGAAGGTGCCATCTAGGACTTTCAATAGCTAGAAAGAAGAAGTCAATGCCTGGCTTCAAAACTTCAAAGGACAGGCTGACTCTCTTGTTAGGGACTAATGCAGCTGGGGACTTTAAGTTGAAGCCAATGCTCATTTCCCATCCTGAAAAGCCAAGGACCCTTAACAATTATGCTAAATCTACTCTGCTTGTGCTGTATAAATGGAATGACAAAGCCTGGATGATAGCATTCTATTTATAGCATGGCTTATTGAATATTTGAAGCCCACTGTTAAGACCTACTGCTCAGAAAAAGATTCCTTTCAAAATATTACAGCTCAGTAAGAATGCACCTGGTCAACCAAGAGCTCTGATGGAGATGTACAGGAGATCAATATTTGTTTTCATGCCTGTTACCACAATATCCATTCTTTAGCCCATGGATCAAGGAGTAATTTTGATTTTTTAGTCTTATTGTTTAATAAATATATCATAATGTTATAGCTGCCATAGATGGTGATTTGTCTGACGGAAAAGTTAATCCCAATCTTCCTGAATCACTTTGAGGGGTTCAAGATTTTATTGGAGGAAGTAACTGCAGATGTGGTGAAAATAGCAAGAGAACTACAATTTGAAGTGCAGCCTGAAGATGTGACTGAATCTCATGATAAAATTTCATTATAAAACTTGAACAGATGAGGAGTTGCTTTTTATGGAGGTGTGAAGAAAGCAGTTTCTTGAGATGGAATCTACTCCTGGTGAAGATGCTATGAATATTGTTGAAATGCCAACAAAATATTTAGAATATTAAATAAACTTAGTTGATAAAACAGTGGCAGGGGTTGAGAGAATTGACTGCAATTTTGAAGGAAGTTAGGAAGTCCTACTGTGGGTAAAACGCTGTCAAATGGCATTGCATGCTGCAGGGAACTCTTTCCTGAAAGGAAGAGTCAAATGATGCAACAAACTTCATTGTTGTCTTATTTGAATAAATTGCCATAGTCACCCCAATTTCCATCAACCAGCACCCTAATCAGTCAGCAACCGTTCATACTGAGGCAAGATACTCCACCAGCAAAATGATTATGACTCCATGAAGGCTCAGATGATATTATAGTTGGCATTTTTTTAGCAATGAAGTATTTTTTAAATTAAGGCATGTACTTTTTTTTAGACATAATGCTATTGCAGATTTAAGAGACAAACAGTATAGTATAAACATAACTTTTACATGCTTTGGGAAACTAAAAAAATTATATAATTCATTTTATTGTGATATTTGCTTTATTTCAATTATCTGGAATCAAACCCACAATATCTCCCAGGTATAAAGAAAATATACTTTTCCTTCGTATTTTTCAGGGCCACCATAACAATGAAATGGAGGCAGCATACATTGGTAATGGAAAGAGCATGGGAGTTTGGAAGTCAAAAGAGGTGATTCCAATCCTGAGTCTGACACCAAAAGTAACTTATTCCTGCTCTCATAGCCTCAGTTTCTCCATTTGTAACATGAGGGTGTTGGATTAGATCATGTTACCTTCCCATCTAGAATTCTATTAGGATTTATGAAACCAGATGACAGATGTAGAATTGTCATGCAAGTGTAAATCCAGAAGCAAATTGTGATGGTTTGAATGCATCCTCCCAAAAGCATGTGTTGGGAACTTAATCCCCAATGAAACAGTGTTGAAGAGTGGAGCCTAATGGGAGGTGTTTAGGTCATGAGGCCTCCATCCTCATGAATAGATTAATGTCAATTATTAAAGGACTTTATGCTAGGAGTTCAATCTCTGGCTTTCCTGCCCTCTCTTCCACCTTCTACCGTGGATGCTGTTAACAAGAAGGCCTGCACCAGATGCTGGCACCTTGATCTTGGACTTCTCAGCCTTCAGCACTGTGAGAATTTCTTTTCTTTATAAATTACCCAATCCGTGGTATTGTTACAGCAACACAAAACAGACTGAGACATAAGTGACAGAGAAGAGTCACATTTTAGAGTCCAAAAAAGGCTTCAGCAGTAAATTGTATACATGTATAAAGAGTGGCCCCATAATGAGTGTGTGATGTACCACTCACATTCCCCCCATCAGAGCTGAGGCATTCACTTCCCAGCTGCTGGGAGCATTGCCTGCTGACTATCTACAGAAATCGTCCTTAGCTGAAGGGAGCTGCCTTTCCCAAGGTAGCCCCTCCGTGGGGGACAGCCTCTATTCAACCACTAGTTATTGTGGGGATACAAAGTCCCAGCCCTCTCATCTCAATTTTGGAGATCTCTGAGAGTCATTTCAGCCTCAGAGCTCTCCTGGGATCTGTTGGAACTGCATCTCAGTTCAACTTCCCCTTCAACTCCACCCAGTTCTGCTTTCTTCACTTCCTCACTGGTATTCCTTAAGGCATTCTCAAGAAAACATCTGCACACAAATTCAGGCATTTCCCCTTAGACTTCATCTCTGATTTCTCCCCTGGCTTCTAGACCTCTATGGACTTGGCTCAGGCTCCCCATCAAAAAGCCAAGGTGGAAGGCCAGCGAAACCTGGGCTCCTTTACACTTCTTACTCAACAGTTACAGAAATGCAAGTTGGGACCTTTTACTTTACATTTTCTGTGTATCCCACTGTACTTTAAAATAGCAAAGAAGATTTCTTCTCCCAGGAAAACTATTCTAATGTCTAAAGTCAGAGAAAGCAGAAAGTCAGAAGGACTGGCCAGTAAAGCCCCCTCCAAATGGTGCCATGGCAAAAATAAAAACAAAAGACTCTAGGAAAATATACTTAAAGAAGCTTAACTCTATAAATCAACACCTGGAAGCTGGTAGCATAAGCTTTGTTTTCCACAGGGCTTGCACCAATTGTCTGGGCCTCACAGTTTGGTCAAATCTCAGCCACAAGTTTTCTTCTGATATCGTAAGGCTTGGAATGAAGAAGCTAGAACTTCATTCTGTTCCCCCAAATTCAGTGTACTACAAAGAGGCAAAGAAATACATTTAAAGAAAAGGAAAAAGAGATCAACAATTGGTTATAATTCTTTGAATAGCTAGATAAATATTGACTAAGAGGGCCTATGAGAAAGAAGCATTCAGATCTGCCTGGAAAAATTAGCTTCCCTTCCTCGCTTCCTCCCCTACTGTTCAGCATCTCTGCTGCAAGATTCTGGCTCCGTTATTTCTCTCAGTGGGAGCTGCCATTTTAATGCCTCAGCACAGCACTTTTTCAGCAGGAGATCCTGCCTCAGGTGGCAGATCAGGCCTGGGAGAATTGAGGTCTCATTTAAACTAAGTCAGAAATTTCCCAACTTGTTTTAAAGTGAAATAGATTTGTAAAAATAACAATAATAATTATTTGACAGTGCTGTTATAGCTCCCAGATCAAAATTTAATCTTTAAAGTGGAATCCATTCTTTTTCCTTCTGAAGGAAACTAACTTTCTACTTCTCTGTCAGGCATTACCAACCTGAATTGAAACATTCACCAGCTCAGAGAAACTTCATGTGCTTGAGGAAGACAGCAGCAGAATAATTCTTTTCTTTGTTTGAGGTCTTTCTTAAATATTCATTATTGTTCACCTATTAGCCATTATATTTAGATTTTAAAAAGTTATTTGGTCTTCTTCATACTTTAAACCTCTTAAAAATGTGTATAAAACCCAAACTTCTTCATTTGGGGGAAACGGTTGATATATTTCTATGTAATTTACATCATTTTTTAAAAAGTTGCCCTCATGAGTTTTATTTCATTTTTTTTAAACTGGGGTATAATTCACATACAGTGAAATGCAGTAGTCATAATGGGGCTTGTTGTCTTCCTCAGTCCGAGGTCCATCTGGTCAGCTCTTCTCTCCCGTTTTCTCAAAGTCCCACCTAGGTCAGCCCTGGCCCATTCCCAAGCCATTCTCCTCTTGGGATCTCCTCTGCATTGAGCCTCTATAAGATGCCTGCCTACCCTCAAAGGCCTCCTGGTATGCCCTCTGCACTGCTTCATCTGGACTGAGACCTGGCTGTATCTGAGCCCACTGTATCTTTTACGGCTGCAATGGACTGAATGTTTGTGTCCCTCACATTCATACGTTGAAACCCTAAATTCCAATGTGATGGTATTTGCAGGTGGGTCCTTTGGGAAGTGATTAGGTCATGATGGTGGCACTCTCATTAATAGGATTGGTGTCCTTTTAAGAAGAGTCCCGAGAGTTAGTTAGCTGTCTTTCCTCCATGTGAGGATACAACAGGAAGTTGACATTCTGCAACCCAGAAGAGGGCTCTCAGAAGAACGTGACCATACTGGTACCCTGATGATATACTTCCCAGACTCCAGAACTGTGGAGAAGTCAATTTCTGTTGTTTATAAACCAGTCTATGGTGCTGTGTCCTGGCAGCCAGAGCCAACTAAGCCCTCTCAAGCAAAGGCTGCTCCTGCTCTCATACCTTCCACCTCGAGACCACACCATGGAGCTGGGAATCCTCCTACCTTTCTGCTCCCCTGTCCAGAATACTGTATGACTCTTTCCTTATGCATCTCCTTTAAGGCAGTCCCATTGCTCTTTTCCTAACTCCAGTGATATTATTTATCAACCTCTGTGCCACTTTCAGTCATGAAGGATTTTTGTAACCTATTCACAGACTTCTCCTCCTTCCACATGCCTGTCATCTTTCTTAAAGACTTAAAATCTGCAAAGATGAGGTTTTCAACCAACCGCTTTATATATCCCTAAGCTTGTCCCACTGTCTAGTCTTTTTGATGGCCACTTCTACCCAGAACTATCAACATGTGGTATCTCCCTATTGCCCTGGGCCTCTGAGGCCCCAGCCCTCTGCCCAATTCATGATGCTCCTGCAAGCAGCATTTCTCAAACTGAAGCAAATATCTAATCTTCCCCACCATGTCTTCAATGGCTTTCCATTGATTTGACTGGGATCTGCAAGTGCTGCCATACTCTTTTCAACACCCTGATCCTATATCCTTAAAGCCAAATTCTCACGTAATATTTTACAATTTGGACCTTGCAGATCCATATCATGGCAAGCTAGCCAGCTGTTAATCAAATCCTCCATTCACTCCTGCTCTGATCATGCAGTAAGACTACATTTCCTGCCTTCCTCGCTGTTAAGTGGGATCATATTATGGCAATCTAGCTGATGGATTATGAGTGGTGGTGAGGTGTGTCCCTCTGAGGCCTGGCCCACCAATATCTCCCACATCTAATCCTTCATGCTCTTCTTCTTTTGCAAATTGGATGCTAACACCAGGGTGATCCTGAAAGCCACTTGATGCAGATGGAAAACTCTGTCACCTTGAATCCCTAAATGGAACATAAGCCTGTCTCTCCCTGCCCCTGTGGACTGGCTCCCCTAGACTGAAGAAAAACATACACATTGACCACAAATAAAAAGCAAGCTTTTAACAGAGTTAAGCCACTGAAATTTTAGGATTTGTTACAGCAGTTAGTTTCATCTAACAAATACGATGTGTAAGGAGAAGGAATTCTAAAATGGATCATATTCAAATAGAGTCATCAGGGACCAAGAACTGGGCCACAGTGAAGGCAGCAAGCTTTGGGTGAGGCAACAAAGAGATCTGAAGTTCTCTCTTCTTTATGGATTTTTTAAAAAATGTTTTATTCTTTCAAGAATGGTCCATTCATGGAACTGGGGCTATCACTGTCTCTATGTGTAATGCCAGGTAAGAATAAGAGAATGATCCAGAGAAAAGGAGGGACTCAGCGGGGTGAGAGGAGCTAATAATGACCTCCCCTCCCACAATCTAGCCGTCCCCCATCCTAGCGGTCGACAAAGTGTTTATGTTCTTTTTGTACTATGCACTCATGAGGGACCTGTGACATCAGTAAGCAGCTAGTCAGGAATTTGGAATCCTGGATCCTAGCTGTCTTTTTTTCTGCCATAACTGACCACCAGAATTAGAATGAGAAGTGGAATACAAGATAGGTAAGAGAGAAAGGTTCAGGACCAAGGCTGTGAGCAAGGCTCCAGAGCCCCTGGTAGTCTGTTTAATGTGTGAGTGGCGTGTGGCCCAGGGTAGAAACTAGTGGGTGTTTCTCCAGTGAAGGATGCCACATGGGCCTGAGCATCTGGACCCAAGCCTCCTAACTGGCATTTCTCTGTGCTTGCTGTAATGGATTGTTCTAGCTGTGATGCTGATGAGAGAAATTACTTAAGGACCAAGTCTTCCCCCTCCACCCCCCTCTGTTCTGTCTAGCATTCCTGCAGTCTGGCATCTTCACTTAGAAACATTATCTCCCCAGATCTTGCAGGGTCCCTAAGTGGTAGCTGTAGCATATCGCCTTGGGGAGTTCAAGGCACCTTATGAATATTATCTCATTAAATCCCCCAGCCTTTTCCCCAGGAGTAAAGCCACACCCCTCCCCCACCCCAACTCACAATCCCTGCTTCATTCAAAGCAGACTCTGAATAATAAATATTGTGATTTATTGCAAGTCATTTAGAAGGAACTATAAATGGACCCTCAACTTCTCCATCTATTTGAAAGGTACCATCTTAATGTGTGTATAGAAGAAATAATGGCTGTTCTGACACCAACTTACCTGGAACACCAATGATTTATGGTTTTGGGGCAGAGATTGCCAGGTGCCCTTTACTCCCACTGGACAAAGAAATCCCAGAATCCTTATTCCTTCCCTGAATACTGGCATTTCACACCTTCCACTCCCCTCACTATCCCAGTAATACACCAGGCGTCTGGAAGTATTTGCTGCTCTCTAAATGTACCAATTTTCTTCAGGTTTTCAAAGCTTTGAATAAACTATTTCCTCTGTCAGAATGCTCCTCTCCACCCCAATCATCCTCTACTTTGTGATCTCCTGTTCATCCTTAAGAACTAGCTCAAATCTCATGTCTTTCATCAAATTTTCTTTGACTTCTACAGGGTGAGTTAGTTGATTTTTCCTCTAATCTTCCACAGCTTCAAATAGAAGAGCTACCACTTCTATCAGGCTCTAGTTACATGCTGTACATATATATTATCATTTAATTCACATGATACCCCTCTGAAGTTGGTGATACAATTATAACTAATTTTGCTGATAAGAAAAAAGAGGCTTGAAGAGGTTAATTACTCCCAATGTTTCATTGATAATTAGAAGGTAAAGCCAAATTTCAAACTAAGGTCAAACAGCAAAGCCCAAATCTTTTTTTTTTTTGAGAGAGTCTTGCTCTGTCGCACAAGTTGGAGTGCAGTGGTGTTATCTTGGCTCACTGCAACCTTCGCCTCCCAGGTTCAAGCGATTCCCCTGCCTCAGCCTCCTGAGAAGCTGAGATTACAGGCATGAGCCACCACATCTGACTAACTTTTGTATTTTTTGTAGAAACAGGGTTTCACCATGTTGGCCAGGCTGGTCTCGAACTCCCGACCTTAGGTGATCCACCCTCCTCGGCCTCCCAAAGTGCTGGGATTACAGGTGTAAGCCACTGCACCTGGCCAGCAAAGCCCATAATCTTTTACTTCATAAGCTTCCTCCATTTTGTTTTGTTTTTTTTGTGTGTGGGGTTTTGTTTTGTTTTTTTTAAATCACTTGTTGGCCTATTAGGCTTGAGCTTCTTAAGGTAAGGGATTATGACCTTCATGCTCATATGTTTGTACCTAGCACAATGCTTAGTATAAAATAAGTGCTCAGTAAATGTTGGTGGAATGAATGAATGAAAGAAAGAATGAATATACAATTTTGTTGCTTCAGATAAATTTGTTGTATTTTTAAATTTCAGGGAGCATGTAAGTTGCCAGATTTCCCTTCTGATGAAGTGTTGGGAAGAGGGGTCCCTATGGAGAGAGGAGGATTATTTCACCAATGAGGCAAATCCAGGAGTCATTAAAATTGGGCTATCCACTTGAACTCATGGACGATCCTAAAGAGCTCAACCTCCACTAGGCTTCCCCATAGAGTAATTGGAATATAAACAATCTCTGAACTCATTCATCCATTCAACAAGTATTAAGAGTTCTCTCTATGTGACGAGCATTGGGCTGGGCTTGGGGAAACAAGAGTCAGCACAAATAGTCATGGTCCTTAAAGTGGACTCCTGTTGTTTGCCTGTCCAGCATCTCTTCTGCTAACAGAACCACTCTTTTCTCTTGAGAAAATATTCTTCCTATTTTCAGACTGTGTGTTTTAGCTTGGGCTAGTTTCCAATTCTTGGCTTTGAGTTTGGGCACTTGGCCAGGCACGACCAATCATTGTGTTGTGTCCTCTCTATCCACAGTGATTGGTTTAGGAATGGTCATGTGGCTCCAGTTGGGTAAATGATTATCAGCAATGAGTTTTTGACTGGAATTAGAGTCATACATCACTTCTCAATGGGGCTCATTGAGAATACACTCTGAGAAATGTGTCCTTAGGAGATTTCATCATTGTGTGAACGTCATACAGTGTACTCACACAAACCTAGATGGGATAGCCTACTACACACCTAGGCTGTATAGTATAGCCTGTTTATTCTAGGCTACAAATATGTACAGCATGTCACTGTACAAAACACTGTAGGCAATTGTAACACAATGGTAAGTATTTGTGTATCTAAACATAGAAAAAGTACAGTAAAAATATAGTATAATCTTATAGGACCACCACCATATATGTGGTCCATTGTTGTTTGCAATATTCTTATGTAATACGTAACTGTATTCAAAAAGTGATGCTTTATTTCTTCTGGTTAAATATAAACCTGGAACTACTGACAGAGAATAAAATCAATACAAAGGAAATCAGAGCTGAGATTTTGAGGGAGCAAGAGTAGACTGATGGCATAATTTCAGGCTTTAGAAATGGCCACATCTAAAGCCAGCAGAAGCCCTGGATTTCCCATTCACATGAGCCAATACATTCCCTTTTCTTCTTAAGCCATTTTAAGATGGATTTCTTTCACTTACAATGAAATGAGACCTAAATAACAATAACATTGGCTCTTGGAAGTGAGGTTTTGTAAGTGACATCCTAAAATGTAGAACTGGCTGAGTCACAGTAGGTTGCAGAGCACCAAGAATTTCTCTGTTCTTGGCTGGGAAGTCGGCTGGATTGAACTGTTTTATGTAATATTATTAAGGCTCAAACCATGTTCTAGAGATAGAAAATATAATTATATTGGAGAGAATTGTCTATTCCTTATGGCCTTCAGTAATGCCCTGTAAGGAAGAAGGAAGCAATGGGAAGAAGAGAGAACTTCTCTCAGAGAAGCCCACCCTGTATCAGTCAGCAGTCCAGAATGGCTGAGAGGAGCCCTGTGAGTTGGAAAAGCTAAATTCTCTATCCCAGGATAAATTTAACATAAATGAAATGAAGGGAGGCTAAATACAAAGAGAAGAGACTGGAACCTTGAGGTAGCATGATATCCAACCCCTCCGAACATCATCTTTCTTCCGTAGCATAAAAAGCCCTTCTCTGGGATGCAACGAGAAGCAAAAGAAATTTCAGTCTTGCCTCCCTGCCTTAGTGCATCATTAGTACGGTGGACACAACAGGAAGGCCTGCTGCCAAGGAACAGAAACTTCCAGATGGTGGTTGAGATTCAAGGACCCATCTTTCTGACTGGATTTGACTGAATGCAAATCAATCAAGTGTTTATTAAGATTTAAGAAGGTTGTAATGCCTGAAAAACAAAACCTGACAAATGATAATCTGCAACAAACTGGTCAACAACTGGGGCAGTCCCAGGCTCATGAACTCACTGAGAGAAAGCAAGTAGCCATGGGAAGGGAAACGTCTTATTGTCACGCTTAGTTATGGCCACAGGATGAATAGACAAAGGATTTCCTGCCAGAGCAGAATGAGGGGAAGCCAGACAGGTTGACCAAGGAATACCTTTCATCACAGGGCAGAGATGCCCTGGTTGTTCCTACCTACCATCCACTTATCCTCATGGTAGATGCTATACAGTTGATGATTACAATATATTGTTTCTCTTCTCTTTGTCCAAGAAAGTTTTTAATGGTAGTTATCTTTTTCTTTCTCATCGTGTATCATATATTTTGGGGAGGAGTGAGTGAATATGTCATTTACCATGATTTTCTAGACACACGAAACTTCACCCACACCAGAATAGAATTTTCATTGCAGAAATCCTGTCTTAGAAGAGAGAGGCAGTCAACTAGTTAAGTTTGTGTAGAAATTATGAGCACTGGCTCTGGAATAAGATTGCTTATGTTGGTATCCCAAGTCTACTACTTACTTGCATAACTTTTGGCAACTAATAACACTCCATTGTGCCTCTGTTTCTTCATATGTAAACCTGGGATAAAACAGTAATATCTTTTTTTTTAATAATTTTGTGAGACTTAAATAAGTCAATACGTGTAAAGAAATTGTAGTGACTGGCATAAATTAAGAGCTTAATAAATGCTAGTTATTTTTATTACTTATCTAGACTTCCCTTTAGAATATGTATGAGTGTGTTTTCAGTTTTAAATGGAATATTTGTACCATGTTAGGTGGGGGCATTTTGGAAATTGTATGTACATACGTTGGGCAATGGAGTTGAATGAATGTGTATTGTATTTTTCTTCTGGTAACAGAATACTTCTTTTCCTTAGAGAATCGTTTTTGTGGTACATGTGGGTTAGATAAGCATTATCACCTTGGCTTCTCTAATATGGGGCTAATAGTACATACCACACAGAGTTGGTAGTATTAAATGTAACAATCTAAGGCACTAGAACAATGCTGAACACATAATAGTGAGTCCAAAGTCTCAGGACTCTTCACTGATGCTGCTTCTACTATTGGACCCTGGAACTCAACAATGGCAAAAGAAATAATTCAGAGACCCCTCTCCCCAACACACATACCTGCTGCTTGGCCCCTGATCTTTTACTTCCTGAAACAGGCTGTTCTGATAAATGTCTATTAATTTGGTGCAGGGAAGGTGTAAGGGGAAAGAGTTAAGTGGGTCACTTTGAAGCTAATATAGTCTAATTACCCACATTCTGGTCATTCCATTGTGGCTAGAAGGCTCTCAGTCTCCCCTCTGGGCCTCTGTCCCTCTGCCAACAATGTCCTCTCTCCTTTCCTTCCTCTACTCAGAGCTTAAGTCACTTTTTAACCCCAAACCCAACTCATTTCTTGCCTCCTCTCCAGCCACCTGAACCTCACTTTTGTCTTGGCCAATGCAATACGTTTTGCTTTTTCAAGTCTCTAGAAGCAGACTCAGCAAACTATGACCCATGAGCAAAATCCTGTCTTTCCCACCTGTTGTTGTAAATAAAGTTTTGAAATGCCCATTCATTTATGAATGAAAATGCCCATTCACTTTTGTATTGTTTGTGGTTGCTTTCAGGTTATAATGCAGAGTTGAGTAATTGCTACAGAGACTCTATGGCCAATAAAACTGACAATATTTAGTATCTTACCCTTTACAGAAAAAGTTTGCCAGTTCCTGCTCTGGAATGTAGGCATTGCTTAAGAGCTTGTTACAAGTGCAGAATCTCAGACCTACTTTATTAGGTTCAGTAATTTAACAGATTCCAGGTGATTTTTATGCACATTGAAATTTGGGAAGCTGCTTTGAAGCCTTTTTAGGGCAAGCAGGGAACCCTGACTCAAATTCACAGCACTTAGACCACTTCAGGATATGCAAGAGCGTCTCAGCTGGTTCAAGCTGATTGAAATGGATAAGTAGGGAAGTCCTGGGCCTAGATAGTGGTTCTCAAAGTGTGGTCCTCAGATCCCCCCATCATCCACATCACCTCGGAACTTGTTAGAAATGGAAATTCTAGGGCCCACTTCAGACCAACTGAATTAGAAACTCTGGGGGTGGAGGTCAGCCATTTGTGTTTAATGAGCCCTCTAAGGTGATTCAAATGCAAGTTACATAGCGATCCAGAGACTCTAATTAATTTAGTTTAGGGTAGGAACCTGTTATTGAGATGTGTTAGACATAATCTCCCAGGTAAATCTAATTTTGAGCCAGGATTAAGGACCTCAGGTTTAGATCCTCTCATCCAAAAAGGATTTATTGTGCATATACAATGTGCCTGGCACTGAGCTAGGTCCAGGCTGTGGACATATGTCTGTATCTATACCTATAATATCTATCTCTATATGAATAAACAAAGTCCCTGCTTCCGAAACCATCATCACCTAATAGAGGCATCATGTAAATCAATAAATTTCATTCAGGGTAATGTCTGCTATAGTAGAAGTAGCCTGGCATCCAAAGGAGGGGGGTAATAAACTCACTTAAAAGGTCACATAGGCTTCCAGAAGGAGGAAATATTTGAGCTGAGTCTTAAAGAAATGAACAGGACTTCCCAGGGGAATTTCAGACAAAGGGAACAGCATGTGCAAAGGCACCAGGGCACAGGACAGGAATTCATGAAATTGCACAATCAGAAAGTTGCAAGGAGCTTGGTGTAGCAGTGCCAAATCTGAAAATGGAAAGGTAGACGAAGAAGTTCCCAACCTATGGGGAAAAGTCTAATGAGGTGGACCTAAATAATCTTTAGTCCACTGAGACTTTGTGCCAAAGTTGGTTAGAATCTATCTGCATCTCAATGCCTGGTGGAGAGTGGCCACATGTGGAGAAAATCAGGTGCAAACAGAATGCTCTGGAGGAAGAACAACAGCCAGTGGCTGAAGTTCCCAGGCATGCCACTTAAGCATTCAGGTCCCCATTGTCTTTGAAGGTAAAGCAGATTTCAATAAGTGGGAACTGCAGCAACTCTACATCCAGGTATACACACCCACAGGCACACCTGGGCCGAGAGGAGCTGGCTCGACTTTCCCTAGGAATAAACACCCACTATCTGCCCCCACTTAAGCTAAGAGGCGCCCTCCTCAGCCTGTGGATCCAACAGAAAGATGTAGCTGGCAGGGCCGCCCTAGTCGTGCAGCCGGGGAGCGGACGTGGCAGTACACAGCTGCTGACTTTCTCCCCCCTCACGTTAAGCTGGAACATTTTGCACTTTTCTTCTTCAACTCTTTCAAAGCAAGTCATTTTCCTCCTCTGGAAGGACGCCCATTGTTCCTTTGACATTAAAGATAGGTCTTCACTGTTTTCTCTTAAGGCAGCAATTGGTGAAGTTAAGATGTATTATGGGGACTTGTCAGAAGGATACAACATTATACAAAGGAATGATGTGAAACAAAAATTGCTCTCTTCAACCTTCCCAACCTCTCCCGCATACAGATTTCAAGCCATTTTTCTGCCCTCATGTGTTCCCGGAGCAGCTGGGAATTGGGGGTAATTGAAGAGATGGAGTTTGTGGTTCTCTGCAGATGGCCCCTCTGGCTGCCGGGGAAGCAAGGTGGAACTGGGACTTATTCAGTGGACAGTGCAGGAGGAGGGAGAGGGAGGAGTCAGGGGAAGGGAGACTCAGGAGGAAAACCTCGCACATGTTTTTCTTAGGAATGTCTTAGGAATGCTTACTTCAGGTTCTCAGGGTTGCAGGATGGCTGGTTAGTTTTAAAAAGCTAAAGGTCTTCTCTTTCCCACAGTGAATTCGGAGTTGATTTCCCAGTGACTTTTACTCAGGATGACACGATTAAATATTACTACTGACATGTGGTCCTATCTCAATTTTGAGCGCAGGGTCAAGCCAGAGTCACAATTTCCTCCTTTATTCATTAATTTGACGGGGCTTTGGTTCCCACTCCATCACTTACTAAATGTGTCACCTTGGGTAAATTAACTAACATCCCCCACCTCAGTTTCCTCATCTATAAAATGGGAATGAGAATTAGAGTTTCCTTATAGGGTTGTTGTATGGGTTAAGTGATACAATGTCCATAATTAATATGGTGCCTGGTAGTCTTAAGTCCTCAGTAAGTGTTTGGCACATGTTATTATTTTCATCATTATTAGGCCACAGACATTTATTAAGTGCCACTTGTACTGACCTGTGCTCTGGACAGAGAGAGATGAACAAAATGGGAAGTTGCTGGTGTTCCACTGGGAGGGAGAGTGATGGTTCATGGTTGGTGGTAAACTCTGGGAAAGAGGGGTCACAGGCTGCTGTGGCAGGCAAGGGAGGGGTACCTGCCCAAACCCAGCAGTCAGGGAGGGCTTCTAGAGGTGGTGGCTCCTGAGGGAGACTTGAAGGATGAACAGTGGAGAAGGAGATAGTGTTAAGTGCAGAAGTCAGCAAAGTCTCTTCCTGCCAGAGAGAACAGCATGTGCAAAGATATCAAAAGACCCTGAAGCTTTCCCAGAACTGTGTGCAGGTCTAAGTGCCTGGAGCACAGATAGAACTGTTTGATGGGGAGTTGCAGGGGATGTGGCTGGAAAGGAAAGTCTGGCCCCCTCAGGAAGTGCTTTGGGCAGGAGATAAAAGACTGGGATTTTACCCTGAAGCAATAGGGAAATACTTCATGGTTTTCAGTAGGCATGTGGCCTGGCTACTGGGAGGAGAGTGCATTGGGTGGATAAGAACCTGGTCAGAAAGACACTAAAGGGATCCATCAGGGCCCTGAAGAGAAAGAACTGGGACAGAGGCCATGTAGATGGGGACCTGGGGGTGCTCCTTGGGAAGTTAGGAGCTAGAATATCTGGCATTTGGTAATAACCTGATGCAGGAGGGGTTGGGGAAACACCCCCCAACATAAACCACCAGGTCTCTGCCTTCAGTGACCCATGAGTGATCCTTCACAGAGATGAGACAGCAGTAGTAGCCAGAGAAGACTCTGTCATCCGTTACAGACATGCTGCATTTGAGGTGCCTTGTGAGATAGCCGGGTGGACACTATCAAGAGGCTTGGGGATTTCAGGGAGCTCTGGGTAGGTGATGTGCATTATCCACACAGAGGGAGCAATTGAAGCCATGGCGTGGATGAGGTCACCCAGGGCAAGGAAAATGGCAAAAGAATGTGGCTGAACACAAAGTCCTGGGGAGAGACAGAATGAGGCCGGAAGTCAGTTAGGAGACTTAATTAAAAGAAGAGGCCAGAGTAGTATGGGAGGAAAACCAGGAGAAAAGGAATGTTATGGAGAATCAGGAATGAGGAGTGGTCACAGGCGTTGGTGGCCACTGAGAAGCCAACTGAGGTAAGCATCTGAAAGCGGCCTCTGGACTTACAGCGAAGGCAGGTTGTCAGTGATGGAGGCAAGGACAGAGCCAGTTGTGGTGACGCTGTAAGTTAAGGATGGAAGATGGAAACCTACGAGGCAGGATTTGCCATTAGAAACCTTGGCAGTTAGGGAAGCTGTAATAGAACCTCGTGCTTTTCAAGCACTGCAAGTACCTGTGGCATGTGTTATAAACACAGCCACATAGGCCCTTACCAGATCTGCTGAAACAGGTCTTCAGAGGCAGAATCTCAGAACCTACGCTTGGAAAAGGCTACCTTGGTGATTCTGTGGTGATTCTGCAGCAAGAATTCCAAATGACCGGGACTGGGGCATGAACACTGGGGTTAGCATCAGAAATGTTGGGTCTAAATCCAGCACCAGCCCATGTGGGTTGGAAACCACATAAGTGGGGCATGGATTTGACTACAGATCAATGGTAATTTGCTATCTATGTGAGTGGGCAAGTCATTAGCTTCTTCCATACCCAGCCTTCTCATCTACAAGACAGGGAGCGTTCTAACCCTCTCCAGGTTATTGTAGGGGTTGTTGAGAAAATCCACAATTGAAAGCACTCATTACTGCTTTATCAATGTTGTTGTTAGCTGCATGACCTTGGGCAAATTTTACAACCTTTCTGGACTCTCATTTCCTCATTTGTGTAATAGAAACAATTGTTTCTTACTTAGCAGGCATTAGAAGACCAAGTCAATAGTGCTTGGGGAAGTCCCTGACATATAGCAGGTGCTCAGTGAATAGTAATGTTGTGCATTAGTTAGTGCAGGAGGTTACACTCAGAGATGGTCACCAGTTAGGCTATCTGCAGTGGCAGCTCAAGTCTGTCCTCTGCCTCCCTAGGTACTAGCAGGGTTTGTGACTGTGTAGGGTCCTGCAGGTGAGCTGCAGAAATCTGGGCTGCTGGTTCTGGTCATAGGCTTTGCAGAAGCAGTGATCAAAGGCCAGGGCCAGCTGCCAACTACTAGCCATCCCAGTCTGTGGTCCTAAAAATTTGCTGTCACCCCTTCCAGACTGCAGGGTAGGCTCTGGTTCCATGGGAGATGGGTAGAACCCAAGGACAGGGTCCTCCCAAGGACAGGGTCCTCTACATACCCAAAGGCCTTGGGAAACAAGGCAAAGGCTGAGAATTGAGATGTTCACACCAGCAGGAAAGAACTAGTCAAATGCCCTGGATTTTCCTCATGGCTATTGCATAGCCAGGGACTCAGAGCTACTGTGCAATACGGAAAGATTTGCAGCTCACTCTTCTCAGGCCCTGTGGGAGAGGAAGTGGACAGAGGGAAGGATGGACAGTGGGGTGGTGCTGAGGCCTGCTTCCTGCCTTCTAGGTGCTCTGGGGACACTGTTCTGCTGTTCTGTTTAGGGCTCCTGTTGGAAAGTTGGGCTCCTTTGGGATCTCAGCTACAGATGGCAATATGACCATGAGCGGTATTCATTCAGTGCCTTGCAACTTACAAAGCACTTTCTCCCAACCTGGATCATTTGATCTTTTTAACCACACAATACAGGAGGCCCAGCAGGAAATGACTGTCTCCATTTTACAGATGAGGAAACAGTAACTTTGAGAGACTTACTTAGGCCTCAGAATTGGTGTGTGCCAGGGCCTGGATTCAAATTCAAAATCATCTGGCTCCAAAACTAGTACTCTTTGTACTAGCCAGGAGTTGCATTAAAAATGGTAGCCCTGGGCCGGGTGCAGTGGCTCACACCTGTAATCCCAGCACTTTGGGAGGCTGAGGGGGGCAGATCACAAGGTCAGGAGATCAACACCATCCTGGCTAACACGGTGAAACCCCGTCTCTACTAAAAATACAAAAAAATTAGCCGGGTGTGGTGGCGGGCGCCTGTAGTCCCAGCTACTTGGGAGGCTGAGGCAGGAGAATGCCGTGAACCTGGGAGGCGGAGCTTGCAGTGAGCCAAGATCTTGCCACTGCACTCCAGCCTGGGTGACAGAGCAAGATTCCATCTCAAAAAATAAATAAATAAAAATAAATAAATAAATAAATAAATAAATAAATAAATGGTAGCCCTGGAATGAGAGACAGGAGAACTAGTTTCTTTTCAAGACTTGTCCCCAGCCTTGCTCTATGTCCTGTGACAAGTCACTTAACTGTTCTGGGGCTTGAGTTAGCAATGTTAACAACACAGATCTTGGAACAGAAAATCGGAAAGATTCCTTCCAACTGGACTATCTCGCTGTATTAATGCTGGCGGTGCTCCTAGCCACCAGTTGTTCCAGAAATCAACCTCTGAAGTGCTAACTTCTGAAGGGATGCTCTAGACTCCACCCAGCTCCCCAGGGAAATATCCCTTGCCAGAGAGTTCTTTATTCCTACCTGAAAGCCACAATGATGTATCTGAGAAGAACAGAGCTTGATTTAGAGAGGAGGAAATCCACAGACATCAAAAATCACCAATAGGGCGGCGCCATCCTCCTTGCCAGTTCCTGGCCTCTGTGCCCAGCTGCTCCCCGAGGCATGACCCCAAGCCTGGCTCTCTCTGCCCCTCTAGGGCCCTTCTGTAGCATCTGCAGAAGGTTTTAGGCTGAATAGGTCTCCCTTACTTTTCTGATTGGCTTGTGTGTCCCCAGGGTCTGTACAAAAGCAGCAGCTCAGCAGGACCTCAGCACCGTTTGTGAAATGAATTGGTAACACAATTATCCATCACTCTGTGGCTTTATGTCCACTTAGGCTCTGCTGAGTGGTGTCTTCACTTCCCAGAAGGACCTGCTGTTTTCTTCCTGAGCATCAATTTTTCCTTGGGAGCCAAACCTTGGTTCCTGTAGTTCACAATCACAGAAAATGCAAAAGAAAAATTTAAAAATTAATGAAGCCCTTCTCTCCTAGAGCTCACCTTGTCAGGCTCCTGGCTGGGTGGAAGGATGGAAGTTAACTTTCTTTGCACTCGGGGAGAGCACGTCTGGGGCCTGGTGGTCTGCCCAGTTCTGCCAAGCAGAAGGAAGGCTGGACTTCCCCGGGGTCCATACCTTGGCCTAAAGGCCACTTCCTTTATTTCGCTTTGGTTTCTTTGACCTTTTGGCTCAATACACAGATTAAGGAGAGGGGCCTAAGGAACAAATCCTCTCCAGTGCCACATGGATTATTCTGGAATTAGGCCGCTGCTGTCAATTTTATTTGGTGATCCCAGTTGGATCTCCAAATTATACCTGTAATTTGGTGCACTCTGTGTATTGCAGTCTGTCAGAGAAATCCTATAATTATTTTTTAAGTGACAAAGTTTTAAGGAACAGCTAAATAAATGTAGCTAAATTTAGTGCACTGTCTGTACAATGAAATGTGGCAGGAGGCAGAGATATGATCAGTGGCTGGTGGAAAGAGAATTTTGCTACTATCCAAAAGGTGGCAGCAGAAATTACCTCAATTAACTTAACAAGAAGCCTGTTCTACTCTGCCAGCCCGCCCGGGAACCCTGGCATGCACCTTTTCTCTTTCCTGCCAGGATTCCAGGCCTTCCTTACCAAGCTGTCCCCGGCTCCATCTGCTGCTCCCGTCTGAGGCTGATCCCCTTGCCCTAGTCACGTCCTGCCTCCTCCCTGAGATACTCCAGCCCAGCATTCCAGAAGGAACAGGGTCAGGAGTTCACACCTCCAAGAAACCTCAGTGCAGATCAGCATCTAACAGGGAGATCAGATAGACAAAGCAAGGGCCCGTTTCTGCCCTCTACATACTCCATAGAAAACGAGAGATTTTCTACAAACCCAAAAGCATAAGATCTTGGGAGGAAACATGATCCATACCTCATCTAGCTGTTCATTTAATTGTTTTTGTTTTTTGAGATGGAGTCTTGCTCTGTCGCCCAGGCTGGAGTGCAAAGGCGTGATCTCTGCTCACTGCAACCTCCGCCTCCTGGGTTCAAGTGATTCTCCTACCTCAGCCTCCTGAGTAGCTGGGATTACATGTGCCTGCCACCACACCTGGCTAAGTTTTGTATCTTTAGTAGAGATGGGGTTTCACCATGTTGGCCAGGCTGGTCTGGATCTCCTGACCTCAAGTGATCTGCCCACTTCGTCCTCTCAAAATGCTGGGTTTACTGGCATTAAGCCATTGTGCCCAGCCTAAGCTTTTAATTTTGAGAATCTACTCTGTGCTGGATTTTTAAAATGACTTAGATAAGTGAATGATTCCTTAAGAAAATATTTATTTTGCTCTTACTATGCGCTACATACCCTTCTAGGTTCTGGGTTTACAGCAGTGTACAAAAGGGAAGTGCTTGCCTGCAAGTAACTAACATTCTACTGGGGACACTAAACAAGATAAATAACAAGATAAATGGAAAGACTACATGCTTGGTTATAAAATTACGTGCTTGAGAAGTACAAAGGAGAAAGATAAAACAGGATAAAGGGCATGAATTGTAGAGGAGGCTGCTACACTTTTAGATGTGTGGCCAGGGCCAACCTCGCTGAGAAGGACAAGGACATGAAGGTGGTAAGGAAGCAGCCCTATACTGTATGAAAAGACACTGAAGAGGAAAATGTTAAGTGGGCTGTTGGAGAAACAGAATGAGTACTGCAGGCTCCTGCTTGAGAAGGTCAGGGGGAATTGGAGAAGAGAGATATGTTTAAAAACTAATTACTATTCTAAGTTCAATGTAGTGGTTTAGGCCAGGGATCAGCATACTATGTGTTTTTGTACAGCCTGTGAGCTAAGATTGGTTTTACATTTTTAAATGGTTGGGAAAAAAATCAAAAGAAGACTATTTTGTGACACATGAAAACTATATGAAATTCAAATTTCAGAGTCCATAAATAAAGTTTTATTGGAACAAGGCCATGCTCATTCATTTATATATTTTCTATGGCTGCTTTTGTGCTATAATGGCAGAGTTGAGTAGTTATGATAGAGAACATATGCCCTGCAAAGCCTAAAATATTTACTATTTGGCCCTTTACAGAAAACATTCACCAACTCCTGCTCTAGGCAATACAAGAGAGTGGTTAGTCTTTGGTTTTGGGGTCAGGAGCCCCTGATTCCAGGCTTGGGTAGGGCCACCCCTTGGTGGTTGTAAGACTTTGGGCAAATGGTCTATCTACTCTGTGACTTTTTCCTCATTTCTGAGATAGGGACAAAAGTGCTGTATTATTAGTCCATTTAACGTTGCTATAAAGGAATACCCAAGGCTGGACCATTTATAAAGAGGTTTATTTGGCTCATGGCTCTGCAGGCTGTACAAGAAATATAGTGCCAGTATCTGCTTCTGGTGAGGGCCTCAGGAAGCTTTAAATCGTAGCAGAAGGTGAAGGGGGAGAGGGCCTGTCATGTGGCAAGAGAAGGAGCAAGAGAGAGGGGAGGATGTGCCAGCCTCTTTTTAACAATCAGATTTTGCATAAACTAATAGAGCAAGAACTCACTCATTACCATGTTACCACCAGGAGGGCACCAGGCCATTCATGCATGAGTGATCTGCCCTGGGGACCCAAACACCTCCCACTCAGTCCCACCTCCAACACTGAGGATCACATTTTAACTTGAGATTTGGAGGGAACAAATATTCAAGCCATATCAATTACCTACCCTCTTAGGATAAGAATGAGAATTGAATGAAATAAAAAAAATATGAAACACATAGTAAGTGCTTGATATTTGTAGTCATTATAATGATTACACATAGTAAAGTAGGAAGGTAGGATAAAGAGATTTACGGAGTGAGGAATGTTTGTATCCCCCTGAAAATTCATATATTGAAGCCCTAACCCCAATATGATGTTATTTGCAGGTGAGGCCTTTGAAGGTTAATCAGATTCAAATGAGGTCATGAGGGTAGAGTCCTCATAGATGAGCGCCCTTAAAAGAAGAGACCAGAGAGCTTTCTCTCTCTCTCCCACCACCATGTGAGGACACAGAGAGAAGGTAGCCACCTGCAACCCAGGAAGAGAGCCCTCACCAGAACCTGACCATGCTGGCACCCTGATCTTGGACTTCAGCCTCCAGAAGTGTGAGAAATGAGTGTCTGTTCTTTAAGCCACCCAGTCTATGGTGTTTTGTTTATGGCAGCCTGAACTGACTAACCCAAGGTAGGAGCAACTATCTTTACCTGGGGTAGTCAAAGAAGTGGCCACTGAGGATGAGCAGAATTTCCCTGGGTGGAGAAGGAAGGAAGGAAAAGGCAGAGGAACACATGTGCAAAAGCAATGGTGATATGAATGAGCATGTGAATGGGCCTGGGGTGTTTGCAGACAGGAGAGGACAGTTCTGGCCACTTGGAGCACAGACAGCAGTAATGGAGGTGAGAGGAAAGGATGGGATTTGGTAGAGCTAAGGCTGGAGAGGCACATTTGTGAAAGGCTTGCATCTCATACTCCGGGTAGACTTATTTGTTACGTTCTGCCCATTTGATATTTGAAGAGCTCCATTCTCCGTCCCCGAAGACATTTTAGACTATAGGGAGAAATGTCAGCTAACAAGATGACCTCCTATTTTGTTCTTTCATGGCTGTGGATGGTTCCTGAGCTCCTTCTCTGTGGCTAACAGCTGCTAATCATGGGGATATACTGTGGTGAATAAGAAAGACACGACCCTTGATGTCAGGGAAAAAGAGTGTTATGAGAAATAAGGATTATTTTTTAAAAAGAAAGGGGATGGGCACAGTGGCTCATGCCTGTAATCCCAGCATTTTGAGAAGCCGGGGCAAGGGGATTACTTGAGCCCAGGAGTTTGAGACCTGCCTGGGCAATGTGGTGAGAGCCCTAATTCTACCAAAACTAAAAAAATGTGCTGGGTGTGGTGGGATGCACTTGTGGCCCCAGCTATTCCGGAGGCTGAGGTGGAAGGATCACTTAAGCTTGGAGGTTGAGGCTGCAGTGAGCTGTGACTGTGCCACTGCACACCAGCACAGAGAGAGGTCCTCTCTGGAAAAAAAAAAAAAAAAGAAAGTAAAAAAGGAATACAAGATGCTAAGGAAAAAAGTATACTGCAGCATAAAGTTTTTAAAGAGTTTTAAATATGCAAGTGATGTTATCAGTTTGAGGGTTTTTTGTTGTTTTTAGAGATGGGGTCTTTCTATATTGCCCAGGCTGGCCTCGAGCTCCTGGGCTCAAGTGATCCTTCTGCCTCAGCTTCCTGAGTATCTGGGATTACAGATATGAACCACCATGCCCAGCACTGGCCATCTTTTTGAGCTTGGAGGGAGCACAAATGAAAGAGGCTGTTGCTGTAGCCCATGGAATAAATAGTGGTAGCTTAAGCAATGGAAGTGACTGTGGGAATGAGGGAATGGACCTGAAGAAAAAGGCGTGGAAGAAAGAATTCACAGGGCTTGCTGACTGGGTGTAGAGTGTGAGGGAGAACAGACAATGGGCAGAAATCTGCCTGTGCAACTGCTGGATGGTGATGCCATTTGCTGAGATGGGGAATGAGAGAGATCACTGGTTTTAGCGGAGTGAGGTGCAGTGGGGATCATCAGCTCAAGATTAGGGATGTTGAGTTGGAGATGCTTGTGGGATCATACCTTGAAGCATTTTGCTATCTCATTCTGAAGATCAGGGAAGAGATCTTGGGCTGGAGCTAGAAATTGAAGAGCTGTTAATAAACAGATGGTAACTGATGCCCTGGGGTGGCTGAGGTCACTCAGATGCTGCCCCTCAGCCATGGAATAAACCCTGCATAATAGTCTGCCTTTTGAAAACAGACAGACAGACAGACACACACACACACACACACACATGCACACACACACACGCAAATATTCAATCCCTGGTGACTCAGTGGCATGTATCTGGCCCTGATTGTGCAGACAGTTTTACAGGAAGTTGCCAACACAATGAACCATCTGAAGCTTCTAATGAAGCAATTATAGTATGTGGAAGGAACAATCAATCAACTGTAAACTCAGTGGTGAGAATTTTACCGAGACAGAGGGTCGATGACAGGCTTGCTGCGGTTAAGTCAAAGAGAGTAACTTGATCCCTTATTGGAGATGAAGTACACATAATATGGGAAATTCCCAACCCCTCCACCAACAGTCACAAAGAAAAAAATTTCTGTAACAAGACTGCTGCCTCCCACCAATCAGTGCTGCTCTCAAAACTTGTCATGAAATCCTCCCCCCCAAAAAAATTGCCCACATTTTAGGATATTATGCTTCATAAAGACCTTTTTACCCCAGTGAGATCTCTACAGGTCATACCAGTCAGTGCTCTACCCTTCTCATTTGATTCTTGAATCTCAAAGAGCTGTGCTAAGGGAGATGTCCCATCTAAGGCAATGATTATGATATTCTTATTTCCACTGCTCTATAGCAGTCCTCTGCATGTATTACTTCTAATTTTCATAATGAGCCTGCAGAATAGGTATTATCTGGCTCAATTTATGAGGAAAGAGAGACTCAGTGTTTAAATAACCTGTCCTATGTCACGGAGCTCAGATGTGGCAGAACTAGATCAACCCAGGTCTTTCTGACTCCAGAGTGCATCTCCTTCCCCATGGCCTGACGCCTTCCAGTCTGTCTGAACACCTTGCATGACCTGCCCTCTGTTAAGTCCATTCTCTTGACTGCTGGGATATTAGAAGATTCTTACTGAAATCCCCACCCATTGCACTGGGCTTACCTTCTAGAGACACTCATATAAAAGATTTAGGATGCTTGAAGACAGCAATCATACCCTTTCATTATTCTCCTCTGCAGTAAACACTTCCAGTTTCTTCAGCCCTGTCCCATGTGCTATGGGGAGGCAGCCACTGCTGGCTGCCTTCCTAACAGCGACTCTCTCTTCCCCCGCAATTTCCTTGCCAGAAGCTCACCTCCTACTGTAGAAGCTGAAAGGGCCAGAAACTCACTCCTAAGAAGTGAATACTGAGAAGTTGATTTTGGAGCTAGGGAATGAGGACATTGAAGAGGCAGAGAGATGAATGTGGCATAAAAGAAGCATCTAGATCCTGATCCTGACCCCCACCAGCTGTGGGCAACTTGTTTAAACTCTCTGGGGCCTCAGTCTATTTGCCTCTAAAATGGGGATGACTGTACTCACTCACTGCAGGGTTGTGCTGAGGACAGAACGGCATTAAGCATATTAAGCACCCAGCATAGTGCTGGGCACAGGGGAATTACATAGTAGATGGATGCGGTTATTTTTATAACCATTACTGAAGATGGGAGCTGCAATTCTTCATGGACTTTTGTTTACTTAATGCAACGTATGGCATGAGATTCACACATAGATTAGGCAAAGGGACATTCATATCCTAATGTTTATTCATGTATATAATGTTTCCCCTCCCTGCAAAATATAACAAGCAGTAATATTTGTGCATGTGGATTCATTATTTATTGATTCTTGGTCTTGCTGGGTAAAATGTTATCCCAACCACAGGTGCCAATATTTGTCTCAGGAAAGGAATTCTCATATTTTAGGAAACATAGATACATTGTTTAGCCTTTCTTTCAAGAAGCTTACAGTCACTGAAAGCCAAAGATATAGGTGTAAATTATAATTACTTACAGAATTCAGTAGAGTAACAGGCTGTACAGAATTGCTGCCTAAAAATAGGCTATATGCCATACAGGCTAGGTGTGTAGTAGGCTATACCATCTAGGTTTGTGTGAGTACACTCTGATGTTTGTATGATGACAAAAATCACCTGATGACACATTTCTCAGAACATATTTCCATTGCTAAATGATGCATGACTATGTATACACACATTAATGTAAAAATACATATATATCTATATGCTTATATACATTTATACATACACACATGCATTCCTTTGTTCTCCAAATATCTGATTACTCTCCCTTCTGGGAACATAGGAGACTTAATGTCTCCCAATCCCCTTATGATGGGCTGGGGTCCTATGACTAGTTCTGGCCAATGAGTTGTAAGCAGAAGTGACATGTGACTTCTGACATGTGTCACTTCTGGATTAGAACATTTAATTGGCAGGACACACCCCTTCAATCTTTTTTACCTCTGCCATAGTGACTAGCAACATTTAGATCAGTGGTTGCTTGATCAGCTTTGGTCCCAAGTAAGGGAATTTAGAACAGAGCTCTCAGCTGCCCCTCAGTGTACTGATAGTGTGAACAAGGCAGAAACCTTTGTCACCAGCAACTGAGACTTACAGATTGTTACCACAACATAGCATAGCCAGTCCCAAGACTGAGGGCCTCCAGCAGCCCAGTGTTTACAGGTGTAGCTCATGGCTTCAGCAGAGGAAAAATCTCTCCCTTTTCAGCACCTTAATGGGCTGTTTCATGGAGAGACCCTCTTTGCTTTTCTTTTGTTGTGTCCTATCTTTGTATGCATCACCGAGGACAGGAAGATGTTGTAACAGAGTTGGCCAGGTCTGGACCATGTGGCTTTCATCTAGACAATGGAGAAGCACTACGATAGGTGGTCCTCCTGGAAGCATTTCTCAAACAGAATGAGGGAGACAGCACAGAAAATACAACAGGGACTGTGACCCATGGGCATAGCTAAGCGTCTTTTCTTTCCCTTTTTCTTTCTTAGCTTTGTTTCTTCCTTCCCTCTATAGGTCTTACTTCCTCCCCTACTTCTTATCCATGACAGTACTTTTTCATATTTCAGAAACAATGTTATAGCTTCCTTGGTGTCCCCAGTACTCAACATAGGGACTCAGTAATTGTGGAGGGAATAAGCAAATGAAAGAGGTTGTGTAAGATAAGACAGAGCCAGAATGAAGAAGCACATTTTGTTTTTTTCTGTGACTGGGAGATCAAACATCAAACAATGGATTATGTTGACAGAAAACCTTCCAGGATAGGCCAAAAAATGTTTAATTCTCACTCTCTCTAGAATTCCCTTTAACAAACGCAACCAAACACCTGGGAATGAGAGACCTGCCACTGTATTATCCATTTGATTTCAAACTGGAAACCCTAGACAGATTCCCTTGCCTGCAATTAGCCAGGTGGAGCACAGACAAGTTAATATCAACAGCTCATCTTAATGCCTACGCTGTCTCCAGAATCCAGGGAAAGGTGTTCTTCCCTTTAATCCTCTGTGGCAGGACAGATGGCACTTACAACCCAACCCAGCACTGGGGAAGTGTTTTTTATGCCACCAATTAAAATGCATTTCCTCCACTGCGTCCATCACTTGCACCTGCAGGACAACCAGTAGCCTCACCATGAGCCTATTCCATCTGATCGCTCCCTTGTCCATTGGGGCATGTTGCTACAAATCCAAAAAGTGTTGCCAAGGAAGAAAGTGAGAGTTGCATCTGTACTGGAAACTTTCTAGTATGCTCCTAGAGTGTTCGGCAAATTCTTTTATGTTCTCATCCAATTGACAATTACCGTGAACCTGCTATGTGCCAATTGATACTAGAGGGAAAGGAAAAGGTAAACAAGACTGCCCTTGAACTCAGTCTTGTAGAAGAGACAGATTATTAAGTAACTAAAATTCATTGTGAAAATACTCTAAGTAGAGACAATTTCAGGTACTGATGAGCACAGAAAAGGGAAGGCTTACTAATTTGGGGGAAGGGCCCAAATCAAGCCTCAGTTATAGAGAGGCCATGTAAGTCTATATTTGTATTAAAATAGTAACCCATGTTTTTATAGTGCAATATGGTTTTAAAATCATTTCCACATATTTGTCTCATTATTTCCAACAACCTTTGTGTAGAAATTACTCTTCTTCTCTATTTACAATTTAAGGAGTTAGGGCTGAGATAGGCTAAGAGATTTGCACAAAATTACAAACAAAAATGGAAAAGCAGGACTCATAACTAGGTTTTCTGATTTTGGAGTTTGTTTTAAACTTATTTTGAATTGATCAGGGTTCTCAGCTGCAAGCAACAGTTAACAACAAAATTAAAACACACAAACAAACTAAAAACCTCTCTGGCACTAAGCTTGGAGTCTCTGTAGCCAAAACCCAACCAGGATCGAGAACTGACAACTGAGCTGGTGAAGTCACCAGTGTAACCTCCCCTGAGCATTAGATACCATAGCATGCATACCTGAAACCACCAACATGCCTTGTGCTGCCCCTTGAACTTCTGCTTCAGGTGCTTCTAAAAACTCAGTAGAGTTGCCCCACTCCTTGAGAGGTGGATTCTCAGTAATCCCTGCTTCTTGGGTTTGTTAACTTCAGGTAGAATCTGGAGTTACTGCACTGAGGGGCAGAGTCTCCATCAGGTCCCCTAAATGCAGGGAAGATAAGTGCCTGGTATTTGCAGTTTCTTTTATGGGCACTGGACTCAACTTCACACATTTGGTAATTCCCAGGCATAAGAAGGAGGCTTAGAAGGCAGGTGGCAACATTTTATATTCCCTTCAGCATTACCTCTCAGTAGCGCTTATTTCCCTGCTTAAAAATTATATTTACTCTATTTGGCTGTTTCTCACTCCCTGAAGTCCTTTTTAACCCAGTATGAACGAGGAAGACTGCTCCTAATCGCCTCCTGCATCGTGCAGCATGACCATGCCTTCATCATCACAATCATGCCAGAAACAGCTCACTTCATTATCAATCAAACCCATTCATTTAGGTGTGTGGTTACAGCCTCTTCCCTCAATGACTGGCCAACCAAGCTTCAGAGTTTAATCATGAAAAGTCAGTGACTTTCACTTCAGAGCACTGATTGGGAGAGAAGGAACAAGAGTCCCCACTCATCTGTGAAACGAAAAATGTCTTCCTCTATTGACAGGGAATAGTGCTGGTGGCTCTGCTTTGAAAAGGGGTCACATGGGGAATGACTCGCTGTCTCAGATCTGTAAGTCTTTTAGACTCATTGATTCCTTTTTTTTAAAGGGGTGCAAGTGAACTTAAATTTACAAACCAAACCAAACAACCCCATACAAAAGTAGGCAAAAGATATGAACAGATACTTCTCAAAAGGAGGCATACATGTGGCCAAAAAGCATATGAAAAAAAGCTCATCGTCACTAACCATTACAGAAATACAAATCAAAACCACAATGAGATACCATCTTACACCAGTCAGAGTGGCTATTAAAAAGTCAAAAAATAACAGACGGTGGCTAGGTTGTGGAGCAAAAAGAACACTTATACACTGTTCGTGGGAGTGTAGATTAGTTCAAACACTGTGGAAGACAATGTGGCGATTCCTCAAAGACCTAAAGACAGAAATACCATTTGACCCAGCAATCCCATTGCTGGGTATATACCCAAAGGAATATAAATCATCCTATTATAAATAAAGACACATGCCTGCATATGTTTGTTGCAGCACTATTCACGATAGCAAAGACCTGTGATTCTTCAAGTGTGGTCTCCTGGATGGCAGCAGCAGCAACTAGGAACATTTTAGAAGTGAAAATTCTTGGGCCCCATCCCGGACCTACTGAATCAAAAATTCTGGTGGTGGAACGCCACCACCTGTGTGTTAACAAAACCTTCTGTGTGATTCTGGGGCATGCTGAAACTTGAGAATCACTACTTTAGACCAAGAAACTTCTTCTGATGTGGGCACCAAGCTTAAGATCTTTCATGTACTCAAGTATCTTTCAGTTTCCCTTAGTGAATCTGGATGGGAACTGAAGAAACTTTAATGCAGTAAATGTATCCCAGATCATCCTTTTAGGTAAGTCAGCCTCAAAGAAACCTACTACAGTGGGCACTCCAACAAAATAAGGACTAACCCTTGCATTATTTTATATCCATTTTCTCATTCTGCCCACATTACCGCCCCAGAAGAGAAGTCATTTTCAAGATGAAGAAACAGACTAAGGAAGGTTCATTTACTTGCCCAAGGTTACATATCAAGGAGTGGTGGAGCTCATGGAGTCTATACTGTGCTAGGTCTATGGGCATGATGGGGGACCATGGGGGGGAGTTCTCTCACCACCCATCTGTAATTATATCACAAACACCTCAACTAATCATCTATTTCTGCTAAAGAAGTGTGTCTCTTTGATCTGGTGAAATTCTCAATATTTTTTCTTTCTTGAGGAGCCCCTTTTTATAAAAGCAATTTTATTCAAATCTCCCATTAACTCTATGGCTTTGTAACAAAAATGATTCAACAGATGAGTGTAAACCAGGCAGTCCATCCTAGGAGAAAAAAGCGGAGGGTTTGAAATGGGGATCAAGTAGCCACCAAACCCAACTTGTCAGGTTTAGACACAAATGGTCTCTTCCTGAGTGCTTGTGAAATGAGATATATTTTTAAAGATGCTCCTAAGCCCTCTCTTTACTTTTATTGCAATATTTCTAATCACATAAATATCTGCCTGCATTAAATCCTATCTGTATTCGTCTGTTCTCATGTTGCTAATAAGGACATACCCGAGACTGGGTAATTTATAAAGGAAAGAGATTTAATTGACTCACAATTCAGCACACCTGGGGAGGCCTCAGGAAACTCACAATCATGGCGGAAGGAGAAACAAACACATCCTTCTTCACATGGCATCAGCAAGGAGAATTGCAGAGCTAAAGTGGGGATAGCCCCTTATAAGACCATCAGATCTCATGAGAACTCACTATCACAAGAACATCATGGCGGTCAAAGCCCAATGATTCAATTACATCCTAGTGTCTCTCCTATGACTCGTGGGGATTGTGGGAACCAACATTCAAGATGAGATTTGGGTGGGGACACAGCCAATCATATCGCCATCCCATTTTGCTTCCTTCCTAACCTACCCTGAATTCCATGGACAGTTATTTCAACTACATTCAACTTTCTCAATTCCCCACCTCGTCCCCGCAAACACACACTCCCCTCCTGCCCTGAATAAATTCACTGTTCTCTTTGCTCCAGTTCCTAAACTATCGTCCACTCCCAAATTAAAGTGCACAGTCATGTTTTGGATCAGGTTTCCTTAAAATCTATACCTTCCTGGGCAAGGACTTCATGACTAAAACACCAAATGCAATTGCAACAAAAGCCAAAATTGACAAAAGGGATCCAGTCAAACTAAAGAGCTCCTGCTCAGCAAAAGAAACTATCATCAGAGTGAACAGGTAACCAACAGAATGGGAGAAAAGTTTTGCAAGAAGTATTAAGGAGTATTGACTCACGTAATCACGACGTGAAGTCTCACAATAGGCTGTCTGCAAGCTGAGGAGCAAGGAAGCCAGTCTGAATCCCATAACCTCAAAAGTACAGAAGCCGACAGTGCAGCCTTCAGTCTGTGGCCAAAGGCCCAAGAGCCCCTGGCAAGCCACTGGTGTCGATCCAAAAGTCCAAAACCTAAAGAACTTGGAGTCCGATGTTTGATGGCAGTAAGCATCTAGCACGGGAGAAAGATGAAGGCCGGAAGACTCAGCAAGTCTCTTTGCATAGCAAGAGTGACCTTTACTCTTGTTCCCAACAAATTCCTCATCTCCATCTGAGACCACCTCAGCCTGTACTTTATTGTCCGTGTCACTCTCAGGATTTTGGTCAAAGCCATTCAACGAGCCTCTAGGAAGTTCCAAACTTTCCCACATCTTCCTGTCTTCTGAGCCCTCCAAGTCTCTAGGAAGTTCCAAACTTCCCCACATTTTCCTGTCTTCTGAGTCCTCCAAACTGTTCTGACCTCTGCCTGTTACCCAGTTCCAAAATCACTTCCACATTTTTGGGCATCTTTACAGCAGTGCCCCGCTACCTGGTACCAATTTACTGTATTAGTCTGTTCTTATGCTGCTATAAGGACATACCCAAGACTGGGTAATTTATAAAGGAAAGAGGTTTAATGGGCTCACAGTTCAGCATGACTGGGGAGGCCTCAGGAAACTTACAATCATGGTGGAAGGTGAAGCAAACACATCCCTTTTCACATGGCAGCAGGAAGGAGAAGAACGAGTGCCCAGTGAAGTGGGAAGTTCCTTATAAAACCATCAGATCTCATGAGAACTGACTCACTATCATGAGAACAGGATGGGGGAAACCTCCCCCATGATTTAATTGTCTCCACCTGGTTCCTCCCACAACATGGGGGCATTATAGGAACTACAATTCAAGATGAGATTCAGGTGGGGACACAGCCAAACCATATCAGCAATTAAGAGGAATGCCTACAAATTCACACAGCAATGGAAATAAAATTCACAGACATATAAGTAAAAGAAGCCAGACACAAAAGAGCATCCACTGTATAATTCCATTTATATGATGTTTAAGAATGGTCAAAACTAATCCATGCAAAATGTAACCCTAGCAGTGGTTGCTTGGGAGGTGGTAAGATTGGTAGGAAAGGAACACAAGAGAACTTTCTGGGGTTACAAAAGTAGTTTATATTTTTATCAGGAGTGTGGGTTACAAGGCTGTATGTATTTTGTCAAAATTCATAGAACTGTAAGATCTGCGTATTTTGCTGTATGTAAGTGATATCTCAATTTCTAAATTCCTAAAAGAAAAATTTATTGAAGTCTTTTACTAGTGCCTTCTCCCTCTTAAGTCAGAACTGCTTGGCAGAGCAGGAGGTGCAGGACTGGGGAAGGGTTAAAAGATTGTTGTGTGAGCCTGGAATTAGCACAGAGGAAGTAAGGTGAATTGAATGTTTAATAGCATTACACTAAGATGCCTGATGAATTTATCTCATAATGAGAGGGCCTGCCCTGAAGACTTGAAGTCTATAAGCTACAATCTCCTTTGGGTCATCTAAAGCTGGAAAAAAAAAAAACATCACAAAATTCAGTGGTTTAAATAGAAAAATATTGTATTGTTGCTCGCAATTCTGTAAAATGAGCCTGGTTTAGCTGGGCAGTAATTTACTGGTCTTACTGAAGTTTACTGGCTGTTTTTAGTTGGCTGGTCAGTGGTTCTGCGCTCAGTCAGAATCCTGGGTTGCCTGGGTCACCTCTCTTTCCGTATAGTCTCAGGACTGCTTTCCCCACATGGATTTCTATAAGGTCTCTTCAACAGACCTACCCTGTTTCTAATATGGAGGCTCGGGGTTCCTAACAGCAGGAAAGAAGAAGCTGCTAGGTCCTGAGGTTTACGCCTATGACTGGCACAGCATCACTTCCTCTGCAGTCTACTAGTTAAAGCATGTCACAGGACAAGTCCACATTCAAGGGAAGGGACTAAACAAAGTGTGGTTCATTGAGGGCCATCACTGTAACAAAATCTTATCAATATCTTGCATATATTGATTTATAACCATAGGAAAGAACTTTCCAATAGGACTGCCCACATCTGTTTCTGAAACTCTTGATGTTGCCCAGTATTTCTAACTCCATCTTCTGAATAATATATCTGCTAAGATATAATAGGGCCCAGTTTTTTTGGGTACCACTGTCTTGCTCAGGTGACTTTGCATAAAGGAGAAAATTTACTTCCAAGTTCTTGGCAGAATATCTTTTAGCTTTCAGGTACTGACAATTACGATTTTAGGGAGCTTTTGCCCTTGCTATGCCTTGTCTCTGCCTTCCATGTCTGGGTTTCAGAACCAGCACAAATTTGAGCTCTGCCTATTTTCAATGGTGTTTACAAGGCTGCAGGTATTTGGCAAATAAGCTAGGATAAGATTTTTGAGTTAACCTGAGAATTTTCCATGCTTCACGTACACATACCTCCACATTTCTTATGTATCATGGGAACCTTCTACTTATTTCAAGGCAGCAACTAGGGCAATTGGAGCTCACTGCCTCAAAGAAGGGAGGCCACAGCCAAACAAAAGACAACAAAGGCATCAATTCTCAATCTTGAGTTTCAAAAGAGCCTTTTCAAAGTCCTGGCAAAGAAAATAGGTTGATAGAAAAAGTTGTTGAGTTTCAAAAGCTTGGCTTTTTTTGTGCCAAAAGCCACATGCTATGAGAATTGGGGCTATTGAGTGATAACATATAAAAGCTAATGGTCTACTTCTGTAGAGTCTGTAAAACTTCCAAGGGCTAAACTGAAGGAGGGAGCTCTCAGGGGGAGCAAGAAACTTGCAGAGTATTCATGAGAAGGGATCATGAACATGATTCAGCTTACCAAAAACAGAAGGGTGGGTTCTCTCAAGTAGACTCTGAGATGAGGTTTGGGGTGCAAAATACTGATTTGCAATTAATGATTAGGAAAGGAAAAAGAAGAAAGCAGAATTGGGTTGAGGGAAAAGTTGAGCTGCAAGGCAACCTTGACCAAGCCTTAAGCAGCAGGCACTCTGGAGCAAATAGTACTCCCAAAGTAATTCTGTGTTGGGCAGAATGGCTGGACCTTTATACCCCCACCTTACTTAGTCACCAGATACAAGCTGCTCTGGGAAGGGCATGACCTTCGGCAAGGTTCTGCATCTGCATCTGGGAGAAGCTGACAGCTGGAGACCATCTGCTGACTGTCCTCACTCCCTGCACCTGAGTAACAACATCTAGCATAAAGAGGGATCTGGGCAGTCGTTTATCTCTGTGTCTGCCACATTAATTATCTCCTCCCTGAGCTTAATCTCAGGCCAGGAGATAATGGAACACTTGAGTAGGTTTGAAAAGCCTAAAGAAAGAACCTGTGTAGAACTTCGCAAGTGTAGCCCAAAAGCAGTATAGTGAACTGGAAGCAGAGAGGAAATGGGAATAAGATACATAGAGGCTCCAAAATAGCTCTTTCAGTCTTGTGTGGTTCCAGACTGCCATGGGAGAGTGTCCAAAAGTTTCCAAAGTTGCCTGTGACCACAAGAGGGTCTGGCAATGACTGATAAAGAGTCAACCATGGACTGCTTGGACCAATTAACACCTGGAGTTGATGGTGGAGCCCAGGATATGTCGACTTATTAAAGTGAGATTAACCAAAGACCACATAGGACAAAGTTCTTAGTAGATTCCAAGCAATGACAGATGCCAGCCATAAACCAATTCTCTCTCTCCTTTTTTCTGACAGAGGCTAGGATTCTACAAGACCCCTCTGAGCCCTACGATTTCCATCAATCTGGATACATCTCAGGTCTTAAGCAGAAAAAAAAGGGGTGGGGAAAACCCAAATTGACTGAGTTTAAACTTGAAGTGACAGAGAAAATCCTAAGTGACTGAGTTCCTTAAATAGATTGAGTTTTCTGCCATTAGACAACATGGGGGCTTTAGGTAGCTACTAAGTTCAATTATAACAAAAAGTATTTAAAAGTTACATTTTAATTCACATGCATCATGGATTGAAAATTCATGCTGCTATATAAATATGAAATGATCAAAGAAATAATTATTGCATTAACCAGTAGGAGAGACAGAAATGTAAACCAACAGAAACATTCAAGCTTACTCTTGGCCAAGTGCATCGCACAAGTGAGGATGCTATCTTAAAATCCAGACACTGCTGGTGCAATTGACATTGGTAGATAACTTCTGTAAATCAACTCGGAAATATATATATATACACACACATATATGATATATATGTGTGTATGATATAATGTATATACACATACATATCATATATGTGTATGATATGATGTATACACACATACATATCATATATGTGTATGATATGATGTATACACACATACATATCATATGTGTATGATATGATGTATACACACATATATATGTGTAGGATATGATGTATACACACATACATATCATATATGTGTAGGATATGATGTATACACACATACATATCATATGTGTAGGATATGATGTATACACACATACATATCATATACGTGTAGGATATGATGTATACACACATACATATCATATACGTGTAGGATATGATGTATACACACATACATATCATATACGTGTAGGATATGATGTATACACACATACATATCATATACGTGTAGGATATGATGTATACACACATACATATCATATACGTGTAGGATATGATGTATACACACATACATATCATATACGTGTAGGATATGATGTATACACACATACATATCATATACGTGTAGGATATGATGTATACACACATACATATCATATACGTGTAGGATATGATGTATACACACATACATATCATATACGTGTAGGATATGATGTATACACACATACATATCATATACGTGTAGGATATGATGTATACACACATACATATCATATACGTGTAGGATATGATGTATACACACATACATATCATATACGTGTAGGATATGATGTATACACACATACATATCATATACGTGTAGGATATGATGTATACACACATACATATCATATACGTGTAGGATATGATGTATACACACATACATATCATATACGTGTAGGATATGATGTATACACACATACATATCATATACGTGTAGGATATGATGTATACACACATACATATCATATACGTGTAGGATATGATGTATACACACATACATATCATATATGTGTAGTATATGATGTATACACACACATATCATATATGTGTAGGATATGATGTATACACACATACATATCATATATGTGTAGGATATGATGTATACACACACATATCATATATGTGTAGGATATGATATATACACACATATCATGTGTGTGTAGGATATGATATATACACACATATCATGTGTGTAGGATATGATATATACACACATATATGTGTGTAGGATATGATATATACACACATATCATATGTGTGTAGGATATGATATATACACACATACATATCATATATGTGTAGGATATGATGTATACACACATATCATATATGTGTAGGATATGATATATACACACACATATATATGTGTAGGATATGATATATACACACACATCATATATGTGTAGGATATGATATATACACACACATATCATATATGTGTAGGATATGATATATACACACATATATATGTGTAGGATATGATATATACACACATATATATGTGTAGGCTATGATATATACACATATCATATATGTGTAGGATATGATATATACACACACATCATATATGTGTAGGATATATATATACACACACATCATATATGTGTACGATATATATATACACACACATATCATATATGTGTAGGATATATATACACACATATCATATATGTGTAGGATATATATACACACACATATCATATATGTGTAGGATATATATACACACACATATCATATATGTGTAGGATATATACACACACACATATCATATATGTGTAGGATATATATACACACACATATATATGTGTAGGATATATATACACACACACATATATATGTGTAGGATATATACACACATATCATATATGTGTATGATATGATATATATACACGTATATCATATATGTGTATGATATGATATATATACACGTATATCATATATGTGTATGATATGATATATATACACGTATATCATATGTATGTATATGTATATATATATCATATATATGTGTGTATATATACATATATGTATATACATGTATACACACATATATAATCAAGAACCTTAAGTTATTTATTTTTGCGATTTCACTTTTAAGTAGGAGGCTTAAGAAAATAACCAGATAGCATTCTGAATGCCATACAAAGAATAGAGAAAGCAAGGAAATGGGTTAGGAGACTGATCTTACAAGATTCTGGGCAACATACATCAGCATTTTGCACTTGGGTGATGGCAGTAGAGATGGAAGACGTAGGAAATTGGATTTTTTTTGGAGGTAGAGGTAAGACTGATGGACTAAATGTTTGTGACGGTTAAAGGTATGACTTTTAGTTTTTGGCTTAAGCAGTTGGGTGTATAATGGTGGCATTTACAAATATTGGGAAGATTGGAGGAGGGAACATTTTTGCAGAGAGAGGGTAGAAAGCAAGAGATTTATTATGGCCATATTGAGTTTTTGATGCTATTAAATAGCTGTAAGGCTCTGTCTCTTTGACATCTAGTCTGGAGCTTGGTGGAGAGGACAGAGCTGGAGAGATTAATTTGAGACTCATGCACATAAAGACAGCATTTAAAGCCATGAGACTGGATGAGATCATTTACTGAGTGAGTTACTGAATGTAGATATAAAAGGAATCAAGCGGATGATAGGATCAAGTGGATGAGATTATTACAGATTTTTATTTGCTTCTTTATTGTTTTCTATATTTTCCAAGTTTTCATAATGAAAATACGTTAGTTCTATAATCAGAAAACAAGTAAAATTATAATAGATCTGCAGCTGCCACTCAGAAACACATCTATACAACTCCCTGCTCTTTTTTCTCCAGAAAAAGCATTTCGCTTAGTTGGGCCTTAAAAATCTAAATGCGCCTATTTAGTTGGGAATCTCTGAGACAGTGCTTGCATGAAAATCAACATCTCACCTCTTCTGCAGTGCAAATGAGCCACTCATCCTCTCACACACTCCCCTAACCTGCATCTTGCTGCTGATTGAACCTGTGCCTAATTATGTGTTGCTGCTTGAGTTCTGAAGTACGTAATAGCAATGTTTATTTGCCAAGATTGACAGTGATGACTAAGTAATTTTCCTCTTCATGGTTTTCTTTTTCTTTTTTTAAGTGAAATAGAGGGTAGCTCTGCCTGTCATGCTACTACCCCAGAGAGTTGGCGGGGTTGTCCCTGGCTGGTGTGAATTGAGGCAAAAACCCAGATATCTCAGGAGCAGTTTGTCAGAAGCCCCAGTGAGAGCGATTTTCCATAATTCATTTGGCATGACTTTCAGGCAATGGTAAAAGGGCTTCTTGGCCTGAACATTTATTCATTCAACTGAAATTCACTATGTCCCTTTGTTGTTCCTGGCCCTACCTGCTGAGCTGAGACACAAATATAAATAAGACCTTGTATATGATCTCAAGGAATGCAAATTCTAGTGATTCAATCTGAATTCAGTTTATTAAGGGTAATGATGAGGGAAGTGTGGGATAACACAGGAGTGCATAACCAGAGAGAGGGATATGGTTCAGGGTCAAGTCTACTTGGAAAGGATGAAATAGCTAACATCTATTGAACTGCCAGGCACAGTTCTTCATGCTTTAAGTGGATTAACCCATTCATGCCTTCCAACAACCTGCGAGGTAGGTACTCACAGAATAATAATAATAATAATAATAAAACTCACAGGCATTTATTCTCATTGTATGGGAGAAAACAATTGAGCCACAAAGTGGTTAAATTTTATAAAAGTATTGAAAGTCAAAGAGAAATTACTTAGGCTGGGTGTGGAGGGAAGTGTTCCCAGAAATTGGAGCAGCATGTGGAAAGGCATGAGAATGAAGTCACTGAGGGATTGCAGGTATTCATTAAACTGGCATTTATGTCAGGAGGAAGTTCAGGGGAGGCGGCCAGAGAAAAAGATCAGAAACCAAACCCTTGATGACATCATTGAGCTGGTGATCCTACTGCATGGTGTATCTGACTTCTGATTTATTTGGGGAGAGATGGAACTGGAGGGTTTTGAGATGTTTTCTGAAAGGAAGTGACAGAGTCTGATGTGCCTTCATTCAGGCTGCTTTATGTGGTCTGGATGCACTGGAGGAAACCAGACAGGAAGTGGTTACAGTGGTCTTGATAAACAACGAAAAGTAACCTACAGCCACCTGGAGTGAGTGTGGACAGAGGCTAATGGATTCAAGGAGTCTCATGCAGTAAATGATTGGACCTGGGGACTTATAGGAGGTGAGGGTCTAATATGAGGAGTCCAGGCCCATGTCCAGGTTCTTCCTTGGGTAACTGGGTAAATGGTGGTGTTTCCCTGAGACCAGGAGACCCAGGGAAGGAGCAGGTCTTGTGTAGACAGATGGTCCATGGGGTTTGTTCATTAAGGTGCCTTGAACGTGGGTCTCTGGCGAATAGGAGAAAACAATGCCCAGGTGAACTGGCAGAAATACATGAATGTGTAGATGGAAACCCAAATGCAGGAACAAACCAACCAACCAACAAACACCTCTCAACCTGCCTCTTATCTGCAACCTGAAATTTCAGCATTTTCCTGAAAACTTAAGGGGAGGAAGATCTTAAAGATGTTCTTACAAGCAAGGGGTGGTAAATAGAAATTAATTGGATAGCACTTGTTATTAGTGTTTTAATACGTGTTAAATGTCACTGACATTTTGTGCCTTTTTAAAAACTCTATTTTAGGAAAAATATGAAACTTATATTCATGAGACCTTTCCTAGGTTTATTGTTGATGTTTCCTCCTCTTCCTCCCACCGTCTGTTCTCTATAAGGTCTTAATTTCTCTAAACCCAAATTCTCCTACTCTGACAGTTCAGAAGCCCATTCTTTCTGGTAGGGAAGGCAGGTCTTTATTTATGAGTGTCCTATTTCACAGATAAGGAAAAGAAGAGTCACAGAGAGTAAGTGATTTTCTCATGGTCTCATTCTGAGTCAACAGTGGAGCTGGTATTTCAGGACAGACCCTTCGGGTCCCAAAGGCCCATGTTTCCATCCACCCTCACCAGCTCCCTGAGAGGTAGGTTGGGCAGATATAGGACACAGGCTTGGAAGAGGGGCTGCACTCCCTTCATTGTTCCCAAGCAGAGTTTTCTGGTTCTTTAAAAATAATGAGCACTGAACAGTTTGGGTTGTAAGTAAGATAAGAGCTGCAGGTCTGCTAAGCTCCTTTTTAGAGTCAGGGAAACAGTCTGAAATAAAGCGATGTGGTGTTGCTTGCAAAACTCTAGAAATGCTTTCACTTGGCTAGAGAAGTTTACCACTATCCTCTCTGAGCAAGAGGATGGTTGAGAGAGAAGCATCAGATTGAACATGGTTCTATTGTGTCTAGATCAGTTAAAGGTTCCTTAGGTGGAGGACATTTCAATGCCAGGAGAGGTGCCATGAGAGCCTCAGCCCCTCCCACTTTGTTGATGGACTTCCCCATTGGAGTAGTTTCTAGGAGCACCAAGACACACTTATTCATTCACCAAATAGTTATTCAGCACCTATGTAAAGTGTACTCCCGGTCGCTTAGCCTACATCTGTCTCTACTTTCCTCCTCTCTAATTAAACCTAGATTTTTTTTTTATATCTCATTCCTATTCTAGATAGAAATCATAATTTGTCTGGGACAATCAGATGATGGTGATTACCTGCCAAGGACTGTATGGGTGGACTAACATAAATTGACCCAATCAGATTACAAGGAAGGTTTTATAGACTGCACTTGGGAAAGAGGTTGCCCTCTTTTCTCTTCTAGATGTGAATCATATGGTGTTGAGGGTCATGCTGTGACCACAAAGGCAACTAGCTTTAGGGTGGAACTGAATTGATGATGGCCAGAAAAAAAGATCAGAACCCGAACCCTTGATGAGATCATTGAGCTGCTGATCCTACTGCATGGTGTATCTGACTTCTGATTTTTTGAAGTTATACATTTCCTCATTGTTTAAGCCAGTTTGAGTTTGAGCTGGGATCTGCTATTACTTGCAGCACAAAGCATCCTAACTATATCAATGACTTCTTTGTTCTAGGCACAGTGCCAGGCCCTGGAAACCTAGTCAATAAGACACAGTCTTTGCTCATTGTGGAGTGAGAGAGGTACAGAAGTGAGCAGAACACTTCAATTCTGACTTATCAGTTCAGTGCAATGATCTCAGTAAGCCCTAAAGGCTACAGGAGCACCTGGGAGGGAAGCCTCATTCAATCCTGGGGGCAAGGGAACCCTTCCTAGAGGAGGTGGCATGTAAGCTGAGACCTGAAGGATGAGTGAAGATTCACTGAAGAGATGTGCTTTAAGTCTGAGAGAGACAGGCTCAGATTTAAATTCAGAAGAATCCCTCTAGCAGGCCATGGAGTAGAGTGTTTTACCCTCAAATGCTCATGCATATTGGCTCCCAGTGCTCCCTGAACACTTAGGGTCAGGCAGCTGAGTGTGTACTTCATCAGTAAATCTTGGGGAGAGGGAAGCCCCTTTTCTAACCCTCATATACATGTTATGAGGATTAAATAAAGTAATACATGTAAAGAATTTAGCTCCATGCCTCTTTCATAGTCTGTGTGCAATTGATGGTAACCACCACCATCATCATCATCGTTGTTGTAGTTTTTAATTCTTTAGTAACGTAGGAACTTTGTTTCCAAGAACTCTCAAAGTGTGATTTGGAGGTCAGTTAGGATCTTCTAGTATCTTCACAAGGTTCATAAGCAAGAATCCTGCAGTGTTTACATTTAAACCAGGACAGTGACTATATTTCTAAATCTAACCATAATCAATAACCAATTTAGGATAATTAATAGAAGCAAGACATCTTCTCATGGCTGCTTAGTCAAAGCATGACCATCTATCACTTGGGAAGCCTCTTCACAGGTAGTGTCGGGCGTGGGGTGGTGGGATGCATGGTGACTGACTGGAACTTTTTAAGTATGAGAACCCTCTGCAGTGGCAGAAAAGTATTTGCAGAGCAATACTTCTGTTTCTGGAAGACTCAAACAGAGCTGCAGTACAGAAAAAAAGACTAATAAGTGAGGGTGGCACTTGCTCAACCAATTATACAGAGTGAAATTATGAGGCCCTCTTGGACCACACCTCATTTCAAAGATCAGCACTGAGCTTCTGCCTCACTTCTACATTAGTCAGGCTGCAAATACTTATGGAGCAGCCCTACAACAAGCCAGGTGTGCTCATAGTTGTGGGGATATAACAGGAAGCCTGAGAGAGCCCCTGCCCTCAAGGAGCATGCATTTCACACTCTGCAGTCCTCCTCTGGCCCCGATACTGCTTTATCACATGGCATTTTCACAGTGGATACTTTTATTCCCCTTTCTACGGATTAAAAAAACTAAGGCATAAAAGAGGCTAAATAGCACCCCAGGTTTCAAAGCTCATAAGAGAACTCAAACCTGGCTCTATCTGACCCCAGAGCCTGTGGTGTGAGCTCTACCCATCTTCCATCTTCATACTTAACGACTGAAGAAATCAAGCCATTTACATTTCTGCAAGGCCAGCAAGAGAAAAATCAGTGGATGTAGTAGAGATGTAGTAAAATCAATGGCCACATATCAAGTGTCTACCACATACCAAGCACATCCTAGTCTCTTTAATCTGTTTTTATTTTAAGCCACCTTAAGGAAGGTGATGTTATTGTCCTTTCTTTGCAGATGGGGAAACAAAGGTTCCAAGTCACTAAAGAATTAAGCACAATAACAATGAGAATGATGATGATCAATTATACCAAGTGAGCACAAACTATGGGAAAGGCCTTACTTATTGTATTTAATCCCTATAACATGTATGTGACTAGGTACTTTTATGTCAATAACTTTAATGCCAAAAATAGATGGAGAAGCTGAAGTGTGTGAAGGTTAAGTGCCCAAGGCCACACTATAAATGGAGCAGTCAAGACTTGAACTAAGGCAACTTGGCTTCAGAGACTGCACTCTTAACCAGGCTGATGCCCCGTCAGGGACAGGACACAGAGGCAGGGCTTCCCTGCTTGACAGGCTACCAGAAGCCAGAGTCTTGGGGAGATGTAGATGGGCCCAGGCCTGCATCTGCAGTCTTCCAAACAGCCCCCTGGAGGAGGTTCTTCCAGCTCTAGGGAAAGGTCAGAATTTCAGTCTCATGTTTTCACACATCTTAAATGGATTTCAGAAGCACTGGGGCTGCCCCAGCTCCTCTCTTTAAACAATGTGGTTAAGCTGTTGTAGCGTTGCTAGAGACTGCATTCCTCCTGCATTGTGATGTGGTTTTTGGCAGTCATGCATGCAGTTAGCTAAACCAAACTAAGCTGTTTCATTAATGGGAATTTCAAGAGAGAAATTGTGAGTAGAAACAAGGCAAGTTTGCTATCCAGCCCTAATTCAAAAAGCCACATAATTAGGTAGGTGGGGAAAGGTAGTGTCCCCTCAGATTCCTAGAGTGACTCTCTCTCGTTTTTCTTTATTAGGTGGTGGTGGTGTGTGCATGCTTATGTGCATTTGTATGTGTGTGGAGGGATGTTGGGAAGGAAGTCCCAGCAAAAGATCTATTACCCTGGACCCTCTGGGTAAGCTTTCTCTGTCGTATGAAGAGCATAATACTGACTAATCGGTTTCAGCTCTGTTCAGCTTCCTTTTACTTCCACCAGTTCTCTTCTACACAGCCCTCAGCAGCAGCTCCAACCCTTCACCTCTCTGCCTACTCATCCCTCTCCTCTGACTTCGGATCCCACCTCAGCATGAACCCCGTCACTCCCTGAATCTTTCACCTTCATGGAGAGGAGAGCACATTCCCTTTGCACTTCCTTCCCTCTTCATCTCTAAAGCCAATTGTTCTCCTGTGCCCTGTATCCCAGTAAGAGTTTGCTTGTCAGTGCCCCTACAACTGCCATGGCTCCTTCTTTCCAGTGTGATAAACATGTCCAAGTCATGTGTATTCTAAAAAACAGTCTTCCCTCAACCCTCTCTCTCTCAAGCCACCGTCCCACTCTTACTCACTTGGCTTCACCACTAAACATCTTGACACAGTCTGCCCTGTTAGTCACAGCCAAGGATCTCCACTCCCATCACAGCCAATTCCGGCTTTTCTCCCCTCCTCTACTAGCAGTCACTGCTGCCGTCTATTATAATTTTCAGACCCAGGGGACCTCTTCTTCCATTTCCTAGCCACCTCTAAGCAAGGAAGGAGGAGGAGGCTCAAGGTGACCTCTGAAGGGGGAGTGTTGGTATTGAGTTCTCTGGCGTTTTCTCAGGGAGAGCCTGGAGTTGCAGACAAAGACATTTTTCATCTACCAAGCTGCATATTTTTACTTAGATATTTTAAAAAGCAATATCGAGCTCTGAAAGAAAATGTAACATTGATGCCAAATCAGATGAGAACTAACACTTGGTATCAACAGGAATATATTTGAATTTAAAAAGGCTAGCTGCATCTGACAGCAATGTGTCTCAGCTACTTAGAGGCTGAGTGGGGTGGGGGTGGGGGAGAGAAGAACATTTCATCATCCATCCATCCATCCATCCATCCATCCATCCATCCATCCATCCATTTCTTCCACAGACATTTATTGAGTCCTGATTCAGGGCCAGGTTCTGTGCATGGCACTAGGGAGGCAACAATGAATAAGACAAAGAGAAGGGTGTAGAGCAGTGGTTAAGGGAATGCACGTTGGCTGCTTGAAGTGCTCCACCCCTCCTGAGCTGTGAATCTTGGGCAATTATTTAGCCTTTCACTAAGGGTTCTGATTTATAAAATGGGGCTAATAATAGTAGTCACTTCATATGTGTTTTAGGAGGACTGTAGCGGGTTGAATGGAACTCCCCCCACCCCCAAAGATATGTCTAATTAGAATCTGTGACTTTGACCTTATTTGGAAAAAGAATCTTTGCAGATGTTATTAAGGATCTTGAGAGGAAATCATTCTGGATTAGGGTGTGTGCTAAGTCCAATAACAGATATCCTTTTAGGGGAAAGGGAAAAGACACAGAAGAAAAGGTGATGTGAGGGGAGATGGCAGAGATTGGAGTAACGCGTCTGTAAGCCAAGGAACACCAAGGCTTGCCCACAGCCTCCAGAAACTAGGAAAGAGGCATGAATCAGGTTCTCTCACAGAGCCTCCAGGAGGAACCAACCCTAATGACACCTTAATTTTCCACTTCCGGCTTCCAGAACTGTAAGAGGATACATTTCTGTTGTTTTAAGCCACCAAGTTTGTAGTCATTTGTTACAGCAGTCTTAGGAAAACCAACACAAGGATTAAATGAGATGATGTGTATAAAGTATTTAGAACCATTCCTGGGACATAATGAGCCTTCCATAAATGTTTATTAAGATGGGGGGTAGGTGACAGCTAGGGTGATAGTCTATATCTTGTGACTCATAGGGAGGCAGGGAAGGCTTCACATCAGAAGTGACATTTAGGCTGAGTCTTCAATGGGAGGTAATTCCAGAAGAGAAAAAAAGCTTAGCACTCAAGATACGTGCGGTGTGAGTTGTTTAGAAAGGAACTGACATTTTCAGGAAATGATGAGCATGATATTTCAAGACACTTTATAATTTCTATGATAGAATGCTATTGCCTATCAACTCCCAGGCCTTGCCAGAGAAGCTTACTGGAAGCATTTTATCAACACTTCCTTTCCTATTTCCTTTCTGTTCCCTACCTGAGGCTAATAGAGAAGACAGTGAGATGGGAGAGGCTGATGTGATTCCTCATATTTCCCACCTACAATTCGGCCTTAAATAGCCCCCTCATAGCTCTGTGACATAATGTGACTGCTGGAGTCAAATTTTCCCTTCCGAAGGGCTACAAGAAATCACCAGCCGAAGCTCAGTCAATATAGAACATGGAGGCTTCTATCTTACCATTGCTTTTGGAATTTTTTCACTCAGGAAGTTCAGTTTAAGAATGCAATTGCAGTGAACTTGTCTTGACTTCAACTGGCTATCACTTTACAGCAGTAGAAACTGCTTCCAGTTATAAATAACAAAAAGCCTAAATAACAGTGGTTTAAACAAATGTCTTTCCCCCTCCCTACTCCATCTCACAAGAAATTCAGGATGAGTCCATTTAGGCTTCTACAGCATAATCACAATGCATTTAGGAACCCAGCCTCCTTCAACTTTCTGGGGCACCAGTAGGTCATACTTTAGAAAGCATCACACTTTCACACTCCTGTGGTCTCATGGTTGTAACTTGGCTGCTCCATATTCCAGAAAGAAGAAAAAGGATGAGGGGATGTAAAAGGGGATGTAGAAGGGGAAAAGAATGCAGTGTGGAGAAAGAGGTGATATCTATAATTGGAAAACAAAAGTTTCCCAGAAAGTTTCAGCTTACATTTCATTGGCCAGAAATGTGACATATGGTGTTCCTAGCTGCAAGGGAAGCTGAGAAATATATTTTTTAAAGCTGGGTACATTACCATTCCAATTAAAATTAGGCTTCAACTAAGTAAGAAAAATGGGAGTGATAGCTATTGGGCAGGCAACTAACCAACCACCATTGCCTTTGTTAGTTGAACATAGTCTTTGTTAAACTTAAATCTGATTGTGTCAATCCCTTGCTTAAAAATCTTTATCGAGCTCACAATTCTTACAGGCATCTCCACTTCTTTATGTTGAAACTCTTTGGCATGGTATTGAACGCCGTCATGAATTCTCTGATCAACCTTTCTAGCTTTCTCCTCTCTTGGCATTCCTCACCAGGGCATCCAGTACCACCTGCCATCCCCAGAACACCAGGCTCAGCACTTTTCACCTCTATGATTGCATAAATGCCTCCTTTTGCACCTGGAATGTCCTCTCTCCATCACGTTTTCTTCCTGGCATACATCCCAGACTAGTCACTTAAGACTCTGTTCAATGGTCTAGCCTTTCCAGTGTCAACCACTCCCCATCCCTCAGGCAGCCAGTTCCTCCCTCCTCCTTGTTTCTAAATGACCTTTATCATACTGTTTTGTGAATTGTCCCTGTAAGCCCCAAATGAAGGAAACATAAACAATATCATTGGTGCCTGCCATCAGCGTTGGCATCATAGTTTTCAGTGGGTCTTGGGCCATACAAAACTGAATAAGAATTCTTCTCTTTCTAATTAAGTCTTAACATTATTTTACAGATAACCCAAATCTGAAAGTCTAGCCTCTCAACTGTGAATATCTTGGCTATGCTAAAATATCTAGAAATTTTTAAATTGCAATAAAAGCATGCAAGATGCATGGTTGAATATTGTTATCTTCATTTTACAAATAAGGAAACTAAGACATAACGTGGTTTAAGTAGCTTGCCTGAAATCACACAATTAAGTGGGTCAGCTGGGATTTGAATCCAGGTGGGCTGACTTTAGAACCTACATTCATGATCATGGTATCTCCCTCTCTTTTGTATATCCAAGGGCATGATTAAGTTATTACTTCCATTCATGGCTGGTGTTGGTGCAAATTAATAATACCCTTTTGAATGCTAATTGTACCTTTGAAAATTTATTTTAATGGAATTATCCAAAAGTGTGGCTGGGGATGCCATGGGCAAGATATCAACTACATCATTATTTATAATATTGCAAAATCTAAAAATCTAAATGTTCAATAACTCATGAGTTACACAGTTATGTGTTTCCATTCAATATGTTATGTCGTTCTGAACATTTTTAGTTGTGAAGACTCTACAGCAACATGGAAAATATACTATTAAGTGGAAAAAAGCATGTTTTAAAATTGATTAGAGACATGTAAAAAGTGCTCAGGAATGAAACTGGTAGAAAGCATTCCTGGATATGGATGTGGGAGGCAGGAAAGTGACTTTATTTTGATGTCTCCTCTAATATCATCACATTAATAATTGTAAACATAAATTTTTAAATTCTGAAGGTAAAGACTTCTCCAATCCTTAAAGCTCCACCTGTTGGCACGAGTGGAGTGTATACACAAGTGTACAAGTGAAAGGAAGTGAGAGATAGTTTTGTTTTGCTAAACTTATTCCTCTGAGAGCTATGCCATAATGGTGGCAAATAGTGAATCAATAAGGATAGTTGCAAGGAAAAAACATATAGTAATTTTTGTTAAACTTAGGACTAAAAGACTCAACGAATGTATGTGAGTAACCAATTTCTTTTATGCCTCTCTAAGTCAAATATGTTCTTTTGGATGGACAGAAAAAACACATTTACTATCAAGACCATGTTTCCCAAGGGTTGCCACTATCAATGCAGAGGTACAGTCAAAGCCTCACACCAGGAAGCTAATGGGTCCAGCAAGCCCCAAGCATCTCCAGTGGAAGGCACGTCTCCAAATGTTGCATATCTATGCTCACCATTCATGAGCTGTCAGAAGACACATCTCACGTCTGTCCTGTTTCTTGCTATAGCTAGCACCAAATATTTGCTCAGAAATCTTGGTTAAGTGCATGAGCAATGCGGTGGGATCAGCATCCTTTACCTTCTAAAGAACAGAGTTTCTTTCTCTACCAGTTCCTGACTATGGTGGAGGCTGCTTGGTCACGTGCTCTTCCTAAGCACACTGGAAGCTCACACACTTCCCAGTCCCTTTGTGGACAGGTGGAACAATGTGACCAGATCCAGCCCATAAAAAGAGGCTGAAAGTGATGTGTGCTACTTCCTGGATCAGGCATTTGAGTGGGTGAAACACTTCCAAGCTCTCAGCGTTGACCTTGAGATTCATGTGTTGAGATGACAGCATCACCAGATGGAGCAACCCAGACTCCCGAGTCAACAGGTCTAGGACACCTCACAGACATTCACAGGGAATGTGTGTAAGAATCAAATCTCTATGGTGTTAAGCCAGAGATTTCAGGATTTGCCTTGTTGCACCCCCTACCATGACTTATATAGCAATAAATTCCATTTCTTTTACATAAACAAAGTGAGAATATGGATTAGACATGAACTCAGTAAAAGCACTGTTCATAAAATATTTCATGGAGACCATGAGAGAACAGCTGTATCGCAGTGAAGTCCATTAAGTCACTTTCTCTCCTTTCTGAAAACATACAGGATAAACTTCTCAACCTGCAGTCCTTAGAAAAGGTTGAGTATCTCTTGAGTATTCGAATATAAAATGTACTCAGAATGCGATCTTATTGATTGATAGGGATGGGGAGGAGGAAGGGTTAGAACCAAGTTTTTAGAATGAACACTGAACAAATGATTCAGGAACCATACTTCTAACACTGGTAGAGGCAGATAGTGTAACTCAGCTTTGAGTTAATAATTAATGCTGTTGGTTTTAATTTACTTTTCTTCTAGGTTTCAGGACTATTAATTTTTCCATTGATTTATAACAGGGTAGCTCAAAGAATAAGTTAATGGTGATAATTATGGCTGCAGGATGTTCAGTAAGATAGTTTGTGGCGCAGGCTTTCATAAGCAAGGACGGCAACATTGAAATAGATCCTGTGCAGTGGGTGTGACTTGGCAGTTAGCTTAAAATGACTGTGCTTGTGGATTCAGGGTCCCAGATGATGTTTAATCACGGGTGCTTCCTCCTTCTGAAGTTCACACATCACTTTGATTCACATTTTTGATGGAAAATATTCCTTCCCTAAAACTCCCTCAGTTGGTGATGAATACCTGATGCAGAAATATTAACATTTGAAAATCCCAGCTCAACCTCAACCTCACCTCAGCTTTACCTTTGCTTTCCATACCTGTGTAGATTCAATGACTTAAAATATCTCGTGTACAAGCATTGAAAGGTAGTGCTATAATATTTCTAGATTTCATATCTGTAGTCATATCTGTAAATGATTTACAACAGATGCACATAGACACATGTGAAAAAAATTCTTTATTAATTTCTCACATTTCATTACAAAATGTATGTTGCAAACAACTTGAATAACCTACTTGTGGTTTTTTTTGTTTTTGTTTTGTTTTTAAACCCTTGGCTTCAAGGACTCAGGGTCTCCCTATCTCTTATGAAGTATTGGGAAACACTGATTACTGGAGTCAATAGGTTATCATTTTGCTATTTATTTTCTTCTCTCAAGCTCTGAAAAAAATGTCCTCTGTATAAATTAAACAACAACAAAAAATGTTGTAAATTCTATGTCATTACAGTCAACAGAATTATAATAATGCATCCAAAATGTGCGGCCACAAAATATCAGGTATATGTTTGAAAAAGAAAAAAATGACATTCTAGCCTTGTTAAAAGGATAATGGTCCCATATTTTTATTAACAGGTTAGCAAAACAAAATCCAATGGATTACAATATTTACATGTTATTTGAAAAATAAAGTAGTGATAAAAGCATGTCACAATTATTTTCTTTTTTTTTTTCCTTTTTCTTTCTTTTTTTGTTTGTTTTTTGGTAACCATTACAAACACCCAATCCAGGTATGGAACTGTTTAATACATTTGAAATGAGGCCAATTAAAAACAAATATAGACACAAAATGAATCTTTGTCTGGATAGTTCACACTTTCCCCATTTTCTGGTTTCCACATGATGGCCCCCATCCCTTAAAAAAATTAAATTAAAACAAACATCCTACAAATAAAAATTCTTAACAGTAAGAAAATAAAAGAAGAACATGCTTTTCAAGTAAGCACTTATTCCACAAATGCAACATCTTTCCATGGATTTTATTTGAAGCTGTGTGGGACACTGTCATCTCAGCAATTCCCCTTCCCTTTCTTCCCTCCCACCCTCCCACAACCCTTCCAAGTAAAAAAAAAAAAAAAAAAACATGAAAACCAAAGGATTCACACGTGCACACATGCACACACACACTCATACACGCACACACACATCCAAGCACACACACACACGGGCTTCTAAAACCTAGGCTTCAAGAAAAGTTCTTTTCTATTTTTTGGAACGAAACCCTTTGTTCACAATCAGAACATATTATAAATGTAGGCTTAGATTTAGTCTAAGCTGCTCCCTCCTGAAAAAGCTGATATGGGGGACAGAGCAGCTGGCAGCTAGATTTAAAAAAAAAAAAAAAAAAAAAAAAAGAAAGAAAGAAAGTAGTTCTCCAGGCTCCTTGTAGGATATGTTATTTCTTGTCCACTCTCACGAAAGGGATGGGATTCTAGTACATCCCCTCGTCCCCTAAATAAATGAAAACCCCCAACAAAACACAATGCCAGCAGAAACAAAACACAGATTTTAAAATCACACACAAAAGCCAGCCAATCCTAACAGAAATTATTTATGAGACGGATAATGCGTGAATTTGACAGGCAACAAAAGGGTGAGGAGGACCTCCTCGTCTGGCCCACAAGCTGCATAGCTGTGCCGAAAGTTTGGTTCTTTAGTTAAATTAAAAAAAAAAAAAAAAAAAAAAAAGAAAGTTAACTTCTTTGTTATTTCCATGTTTAAAATAAAAACATTCCTATTCACAAAAAACTAAATCTCCCTTGCCCCGAAATTAAAACAACAATAACAACACACACACGAAAAACAATTCATATGAAAAACTGAATTGTGCTGTGTTTGTAACACTCAAATTGATAGAAAATAAACATGTGGCAAACAAAACTCCACAATCACCTTAAAATTAGCTCACATGAATCTACCAAATTCTAAATTATAGTTGAACACTAATAAACAGCTTACCTGGAATAAAGGATGACAATTCACAAACAGTTATCTAATAATTAAAGTCTGTTTCTTTTTTTTGTTTTGTTTTTTACTAAAATAATTAAAAAAATCACAGTATTTTAAGAAATAAAACCCACATGGGGATTTTAAGCACAATTTGTGTTCCTTTCTTTAAAACTCTTTTTTTTTCTCCATTCACCATCTTGCCCAGCAGTTCTCTCTACATTTAACCACAACGACGACAGGTAGTACTGACAAATGCAGAGAGTTCCCTTGGTTAAGTTTGAGGTACTAGGAAACAGGTGACTGTTTTATGCAAAGCAGTTTTTTTTTTTTTGTTTTCTGTTTTTTGTTTTTTGTTTTTTTTTCCCAAAGCGGCTGCAGTTAGGTCTTGAAAAAGCTTAAGGTATTAAAACTAGAAAAACGCACCAAAAGTTGTGCGTCAAAAAGTTGCTCCCCAATGAGAAGTCTTCTACCGTCATGGAGCTTCTGTTTCCACATACTGTCCAAGACCACCACAGGGTGCACCGTACCATTGGGAGGTGCTTCCATATTCCGCAACAAATGAAACTTCCATGATGAAGATCCGGAAGAAAAGATGTAGTGATGGAAAAGGAGCCACATATTCCAACCATTTAAATAACTTTAATTTACATACTCACTCACACAGGTACCAGTGCTTTGAAAATAGATTGTTCAGTCCTAAAAAGCAGCTTTGTTCTGTCTTCTCTTTTCTGTCCCTCCCTTCTCAGCCCAAGCCAGCCCTCCCACTTTTTCATCACTGTTCAAGTAAGGTTTGATTAAGAATTTCACCAAACGCTCATTCTTTTTTGGCCTCTGCATTCTCCAGGAGAGATTTGTCGGCAGTTACTACACAGATGGCTACTGTTTCATTCTTTAGGGAAAAGTCTATCCCAATGGCCTCGTCATCTTCCTTTTCCTCTATGGAGGGCATTTTAACACTGTTCTCCATGATCTCTTTTGGGTGGATTTCTTCTCTGCTCACCTGCTTGGTGTCATTCAATGCCCTGGAAAAACATTTATCGAAGAGACAGATGAGTATAGTATATATATTTCTCTTTTTAAACAAAAAAATAATAAAAACCCTCGAGTGTCTTTATTTTCCTGATCCTCAAAAAGCCTTGGGGTTTCCTTTGAACAAATGCCATGGGTGTATGACAAAATACCAAGTGATGCATCCCTGCTATGTTTTGCTTAAGTCATATATTTCTGTATCTTAAAGATTTGAACTTACAGAAGTATCCATTATTATACTATATATTGATTATCCCATGTTTTCTTTCTAGATAAGCATAATCATTTTATGTCACTTTCTCTACTGGGTCATAAGTGGTAACAGCAAGAATTGTCTTATGCTCAGAGTCATCGGCTGAACCCAGAAGCTTGGAGATTGGTTATATTTATGAAGTCTAAAAGAGTAACTCAGGTACTAAAGATTTATTTGTCAGGTCCCGAAACAAATCACGAAAACAAACTAAAAACAAAAACCTGAAGATGGAACCCATGTCTCGGGAAGCTTGGTTATATTCTCTGAGGTCTAGACCCTTGAGGCTTCAGGGACCAAGCTTCAGGCTTCCTATCACCACACAAGCCATGTTTCCTCCTGAAAAGACCACATCCTAGGTTCTCTCTGCATCTGGTGGACTAACGTGCCTTGTTGAGGGGCTGATTTTATGTTCAGGGATCTCATAAGTATTTTACAAGTATGCTCTCACCTACCTGGGAGGCAGGCAGAAGCTGGCTCTGTCCCCGAGGCAGTACATGGGAATGTTCAGGGCCACTCAGGGAATGATCAGTCAGAGAGGCAGGAACAGAAGCCAGATCTTTTGACCTCGATTCACGTTCTATTATAGAATGTCACGCTAATGAAGACTAAAGGGATATTGGCTGGAGAAAACACTATACTTCTGCACACAGGCTTGAGCAGGACTGATCATTCATAAAGACGATTTTTTTCCCTATTTGACTTGCGGCTGGGTGACCATTTTAAAAAACAACAGAAAAGGAGAAACTTGGTTCCTCACCATTGCCTCTCCTCCCACGGCCCAGAAATGTGACACAGAGGGGTGTACATACTGTCAGGGGAACCAAAACAAGAGCCCCTCCCTCCCTCCCTACCTCTTGCTTTGGACAAAGGCATCCTTGAAGTGGCCCAACTTACATGCCGTGTCTCAGCACATGTCTTTCCCACTCAGAGCCCTGTGAAAACGCCCGTCCACAAAATTCACATGGAAAACGCTTCTCAGTGTTAAGAGCAGCCCCGTGGTCAGAAAATCTCATCAGCTCTGCAAAGAGAAAGCAGAAGTGTTACCTGTGTGCTGTGGGAATCAGCAGAATAGGTAAGTCAGCATTCATTAGGATACCCTCTCTCCTACCTTCACTGATAAAGCCATGTGGTGAAAGCAATTTCCAGATTCCTCACTTTTTCTTAGGTTTCCCCCTTAGGGCATTCCTTGAATAGCATTCGAGAACTGTTTCTGGTTCTTGGGCCCCAAGACCTCATTTCGCCTCACCTCCCCAATGCTTCTATCACAAAATCTGGGTCTTTCTTGACTGAAGAGCCGCTTGCCCGAGATTCCAAAGGAATCTGAGCATTATTTTTTCCGATTTATTCTCTCCCTTGTGTGATGATTTATATCAGTGCCTCACAGGCTAGCATCTATTCATTTCCTTTTTGACACAGGTTTATCTTTGTTCACTGAAAAGAACATAGGCTACCGAAAGCCCTGGACCAGGTTATGTGTTGTGGACCTCAGGGTTTCTACTTGTTCCAAGTAAGGCTGAAGGCTCATGACTTGTGGTCATCCATCATAGACATTATAATCAATACCTTACAGGGCGGTTATGTGCACTGAATGAGATCTGCAAGCGAAGAATCTACCATGAACATTTATCTGGATGAGTGGGAACCAGTATGTGAACACATGTCCCCTGCTATTGAGAGATCCTGGCCAGCTGCCTGGCACCTACCCCTCAATTGGTGGTATTCATGAATACGGGGATATGCAGACATTTCTGGACGGTCTGTTGTAAACATCAAATATTGACTTAGTTGTTTTGTTTCCTCCATGGTACTAGGCACATGGTAGAAGTCTGATAAATGTGGATTGGCTGTTTAACTGTTTTCAGGCCACGTCTCCTGGCAAACTCAAAGATAAGAGATTATATGGCCATTGTGTTAGCCCGAGTTCCTAGCCCATATGTGTTTCATTATACCACAGAGGGCCAAGTCTTCATGTAGGTAATAAACAGCAGGACCTTGCCAGTTCTGCAGCCGTGTTGCAAAGTGAGGGCATCGCACAGGGAAGTGTTGATCATCTTTACACTCTGATCACTCTGGTCCACACATACAAGACATTACAGGAAGATGCCTCCTGGTTGAAATGCCCCATCTAATAA